>NC_000022.11:10834643-10874572 GCF_000001405.40 Homo sapiens | reverse complement strand
GATCAGGAAATGCTGTCCCAGCGCTGACCTATATTCCCTATGCTTCCTCCCACAAAAGAGCTTAGGGTGGCTGCCAACTTGTGGGCAGAGACCCTCACTTTCCAATCCCCACGAGGGGCTGTGCAGTGGGGAGGACAAGGCCCCCTCCTCTGTCTCCTCCAAGACCCTGTTTTCTGAGGAAGGTCACTCTGGGAACTGTTGGCCTCTGCAGATGGGGGCCTGGATCATGTGGAAAGATGACGTGAAGGTCACACCTGTCAGGGACCAGTGCTGGAGGGCAAACCTCACCTTTAAAAGCTCCCACTGTTTATTTTAAATTTATTTTTATTTTTAATTTCTATGAGTACATAGTAGGTGTATATATTTATGGGGTACATGAGATAGTTTGACACAGGCATGCAATGTGTAATAATCACATCAGGGTATAAATGGGGCATTCATCACCTCAAGAAAGGGAAATGCCAGATGCTTATAAAACCATCAGATCACATGAGAACTCACTGACTATCATGAGAACAGCATGGGGGAAACTGCCGCCATGATTCAGTTACCTCTCACTGGGTCCCTCCCGTGACACATGAGGCTTATGGAAATTACAGTTCAAGATGACATTTGGGTGGCAACACAGCCAAACCATATCACCTTATAAAATGAATAATGTGAAAATAGCACTGGGCCTGAGGCCTGGCCCCTGCTGTGTGATGCCCCCTCTTGGGGAGAGCCTGGTTTCTGTGGCATGCAGAAACTTCCCTGTGCTTCCTGTGGGCTTGGGGTGAGCCAGGTCCTCCTGGGGGAACTGGGCACTGTGGGACAGGAGGGTCCCTGGTCTGGGGTCTCCATTTGCCTCCTTACCCCCATCAACGAAGCACCAGAGGAGCCAACTCAATAAACCTCAATGCACGGCCCTTCCTGGACCATAGGTGCTCAGGGCCCCCTGAGCTGCCCGGGGGCAGAACACTTGGCAGTGGCCAGTGCTTCCCCAACAACTCCCCCATGCACAGATGCCTGGTGGACACACTTCCTTTAACCCTGCTCAGCTGGAGCTCAGCCCCCATCCTAGTACCTCTGCCTCCTCCTCCAGGGCAGGAAAAGAAAACCCAACCCCAAACCCATGGAGAATCCTCACCTTGGGCGAGGCCCTGGCTGGGACTCAGCCTCTTGTCAGACCCTCCAGTAGCTCCATCTTTCCCTGTTTCCCTGCCCCATGGAACCCTGGGCCTCTAGGAAAGAGTTGAGGGTGTCTTCCACTCAGCAGGTACCGCATGATCTTTGGGGAGGATTTGTGTTATACCTGCTCCTGGTGGGATAGGAGCCTCCGGAGCTGGGCAGTATTTGGGCTGTAGAAAACTGAGAAGCCCCTGACCCATCATGCATCAGAGCCCACTCCCAAGATGTGGAGCCGTCAGCTGGAAGAGCTGGGCAGTGGCAGGGGACCCCGGACCCTGAGGCCTTCCTCCCTTCCATCAGGTGACCCTACCATGTGGCCTCAGCTCTAGGGAGATGGGCCCTAGCTGGAGGCACTGCACAGCAGCATCCTGGGTAGAGGTGCCCGGAGGGCAGGCCTGCCTTTGAGGCTGTGAGGCAGGGCTGCGGCAGGCAGTGGCCAGTGGAGGGAACGGGGTGGGTGCCGAGGGGCTACATGGCCATCTCCCGGACATGGGGTCCGGCTGGGGGACATGGGATGGGCAGACACTGCCATCTTGACTTCATTGGCCCATCTGTGGGCTGGGGGAGCAGCTGGGAGTGTGGCCAGCTGGGAGGTAGGAGGACTCTTGGGGAAGTGACAGTCACCTGCATGAACTCAGGGCTAGAGAGCTGTGGCTCTGGGACACACAGGGTGGCCAGGGGGAGGCTGCAGCACCCTCTGCTGTTGGGGATGAAAGGTGTCTGCCTTGAAGTGAAAGGGTCCCTGTTCAGCTCTGGGCTCCCGTGGGACCCTCAGCAGGGATGTCTTGAAGGCTCCTAACAAGCTGGAAAGCAAGGAAGCTGCCTTGCCCAGAAGTCAGGATCGCCCAGCCAGGGTGGCCGTCCCATGGCCTGGCTGCGTGAGGCCCTGGGGGAAGCTGTCTGCCTACCCTGCAGGGAGTGCCTCTCCTCGGCCATCAGCTGATCCAGTGCCCAGAAGGTGTCTTCCTCTGGCAGATACAGGAGGAGGATGGCAGTTAGGCAGCTCATGTCCCTGTGGTAGCCCACTTCCTGCAAGAGCCAGAGTCACCATGGAAGCATGTCACCTGAGAGGGCTGAGGCCATCTGGGAGGACTCATGTCACTGAACAGGACAGAGGTCACCTGGGAGAGCTCCCTCTAGCCCTAGGGGATTTAGGGTGCAGACTCTGCACCCCTCTCCTGACCCTGGGCGTGAGGACTAAGCAAGTCCCCCACAACTCAGTTGAAAAGGGACCTGGAGGGACTTCTGCAGTGAGTGTCCAAACTCACGTAGTCCGAAGGGGCACAGGCAAGGATCATTCATGTCCCCTATCCTGGGACAGGCTGAAAAGGCCACTGTGCCAGGCCTGGGGCAGCACCTGTGAACTGCACCCACCACGAGGGCAGGCGATGGGCCACTGATCACCACACAATGGGTCCTCTGATGGCCCAGGAGCTGCCTGCCAGGCACAGGAGGGCGGCTGGGTCCAGACCCCATGTGGGCAGCCCATGGAGTGAGCTCAGCGGCTCTCCCTGCCTGGAAGGGTCTGGGAAGTGGGGGCCAAGCAGGAACAGCCAGCTGGGTGACCTCCTCCCTGTCTACTGTGATCCTACGGGGTTAAGACAAAGGGGAAATTGGATCCCTGCCAGGTTTCCAATAAAAAGTCTTCCTCAGGATGCAAACTCATTTCATGACAAGAGCCTGGCCCCATCAGGCACCTCAGCAGCTTGTCAAACATGTCTCCTGCAAGGACTATCCTGTGTGCAACACTGCTAAGCTCCTTGTTTGGGGCGGCACCAGGACGGGAGGGTCATTTCTTCTTCTGAGACATGGTGGTTGGGTCCAGGCGACATCAACAGTCTGGGCCCTGACCCCTTTCCATCTCAGCGGGGACCCCTTGAGACACCAGCTTCCCTTCCTTGCTTGGGTGTCCATGCAAGCAGTTCTACCTACTATGTTATTACAGCCAGATCAGGATCAATGTCCTCTCTCTGGAATAAATGCAACGACCACGGTTCTTTGAGCATTATTTATCTTAAATTACTGTTTTAATTAGAAATGTATCTAACTTACTTATATTAGCCAAATTTCCTTTCAATGTAACCAAATTTCTTTTAAGTGAAAATTAAGTATTTACCTTCTGTTATCAAGCATTTTATGAATACAAAATGTTTATTTTTTTCAACTTTAGAAGAAATTGAAAAGGTCTACATGCTACTAATCTAAAAATACAGGCTCTGGGTTTATATGGTGTTAACCTTTCTTCCAAATTTTAAGGAATAGATATTTAAATGCCATCCACTTTGTTTTAAAATACATAAAATGTTTTCAGCTTTTGACCTCAAAATTTACAGTAGCACAGCTACTCTGTATTGAATAAACCACAGAATCAAAACAAAGAAAGATTCTACAGACCAGACTAACCAACAATACAGTTGGTTCAAAACTAGTGGTTCAAATATCAAAAACCAATTTCAATGACAAATACATGGTATGAAAACCCCGCAAAGCTCAAGTAGAATATATTATGCTTGAATGAAATTATGAGTTGAGAGTAGGAAATCTATGGTTAACCAAACAAATTAAATAATGTTTATGAGGAAATTATACTGCTAATGTTTTATTATTTGGCAAGCTATTCAGTGGAACACAAAGATATTCTTGATGAAGTTGAAAAAATATTTTAAAATGTTACTAAAGTGGATTATAAAAAATGAGGACATGAATAACTTTAAAACGTATTCAGGGATAAAGAGAGAAAAATAAATTTAGATTTCATACATACATAAAATATATTTAAAAAGTTGTGTTTTTGGTTGCTCAAATAAAAGGAGCAGATATTTAAATTCCATGCCTTTCATTTTAAAGTTTAGGAAATGCTTATAGCTTTCCAAACTGACATTTATACTAACACAGTTAATCTAATCGAGTGATAACAAAATCAAAACAAGCAGAATTCTCTTGACCAATCTATTTTCTTGATTTTTAAAAGTAAATGTACTCTCAAAGAAACAAAACTATTATTCCTGGATTCTGTTATTTAAAAATATTTACTGATCGCTTACCTTAAACCAAGTGATCTCCAGCTCGTGGAAAAATATGTGAAGTTGCCCAGCTTCATTAAGCTTAAACTCTTCTGAAGGAGAAAAGAAGCAATGGAGTAGGGACATTAAAGCAGGAGTGTGGTGATATGGCTGAGACTTCTACTTGCACACTGTGGTAGCTGTGTGGAGACTGGATTGAAAAAGGGGCAATGACAGAAGCTTAAATTAGTATCAAATATGGTAATCTTATAATTTTAAGGGTCCTTGAAACAAGAATGTATAATAGTTCTCATTATTTCCCCAAGAAAACTCTGCACTTGGCCTTGTGAGGGAAGCACTATAGTTACCAAGTGGTGGGGGTGGGAAGGTGAATTTGGAAACAACATTTGGAATTACTACACTTTAAAGGTAAAGCTGGCAGGAATTCCATACACATCAGATCTGAAAATATGTGTGTGTGTGTGTGTGTGTGTGTGTGTGTGTGTGTGTGTGTGTACATGTGTCTGTCTGTGTGTGTTTGTGTGTGTGTGAAGCAGGGAGAGAGAGCAAGAATGACAGCGAGCAGAGAGAGAGGAGAGAGAAGGAGAGAATCAGACAGATACAGAAAGAGAGTGACAGGGCTACAGAGACAGAATTAAAAGGGGGCACCAAGAATACTGAGCTGAGAAACTATACAATGGGAGTTGCCATTAAACAGAATGGGGAAGAGCAAATTTGGGGAGTTTCAGTGGCTCCACATAGACATATTAATTTTGAGATTCCTAACTGACATCCACATGGATAAGTCAGGGAGTGTTGTGTGTAGTGTCCAGTGTTTTGGTGTAATATGAAATATCAGGAAATTAATGACACAAAAATCAGTAAGAAAGCAAAGAAAGATAAGCAGTCAAAGTCGTGAGCCTAATCATCCTCTAACATTTAAAAAATACTAAAGATGAAACCTGCAAAAAAGGACTAGGGGTAATTATCAAAAACATGGTGGAGGGAAAGTAGGTTAAGTTTTCTGGAATTCTATAAAAAAAGTTTTACAAAGGGGAGGTAGAGATCAACCATGTGAAATGCTGCTGATACATAAATTAAGACGAAGTCCGAGGAGTTATGGTTCAATTTATAATTTAACAATATGGATAGCACTTATGTTTTGATACGAGCAGCTTCGTTGGAGTGAGTAGGTGAGAAACCATATTGGAGTGTTTGCTGAAATGAAAGTCTGATCTTTGGATTCTTAAGGAAAAATTTTATTGGACTGCAGAGGCATAAATTGGATTTCTAATTCTGGAGTCAGGATGTGCTCAGTAAACATGGGCCCATCAATGCCTCCTCGCATTTTTTTTAGCTAGGTATTCCATTATCTTTTAATAATATAACAATTACCTGCAAAACTGACACCCATTTTGCAGCAAACCAGCATGACACATGTATACCTGTGTAACAAACCTGCACATTCTGTACATTTATCCCAGAACTTAAAGTATGTGTGTGTGTGTATATATATATATACGTATATATACATATGTACATACATATACGTGTATATATACATATATACATACATATACGTGTATATATACATATGTGTGTGTGTGTGTGTGTGTGTGTGTGTGTATATATATATATATATAAAAGAAAGAAAACGAAAACCCAGCCAAGTGCGGTGGCTCATGACTGTAATCGCAGCACTTTGGGAGGCTGAGACAGGTGGACCATCTGAGGTCAGGATTGAGAGCAGCCTGGCCAACATGGTGAAACCCTGTCTTTACTAAAAATACAAAAATTAGCTGGGTGTGGTGGGGGGCATCTGTAGTCCCAGCTACTTGAGAGGCCAAGGCAGGAGAATCACTTGAATCTGGAAGGCAGAGACTGCAGTGGGCCAAGATAACACCACAGCACTACAGCCTGGGTGACAGGGTGAGACTGTCTCAAAAAACAAAAACAAAAACAAAAAAACACACATTTAATTGAAAAACTTTACAAAGACTGATACTAGAGGTTGTTGGAGAGGACGTTGTTCCACATAATATCTTATGAGTTGCTGATGGACAAGTAAGATGGTAAAATGCCTTTGAAAAACTGACCATACCTGCTATACTTAAATATTCAGATACCAAACACCCAGAAATTCCATCTTGTCATTTATTTCCACAAGAAAAAACAAGAGACCTGTATTAAAATATCCACTTCTATTGAAAATAATCACAGTTTCCTGAAATTTTTTTATTAATAGCTCTTGTTTTCAGCAGTACAACCTCTAATATATATGTGTGTATATATATGTATATATACACATATACATATATATGTATATGTATATATACACATATACATATATATGTATATGTGTATATATATTAGACAGATATATATGTATATAATACATATACATATATACATATATGTATATATATACACACACGTATGTATATATACAAAATGTATGTATATATATTAGACAGAGTTTTGCTCTTGTTGCCTAGGCTGGAGTGCAATGGTGGAATCTCGGCCCACTGCCGCCTCCACCTCCCGGGTTCAAGCGATTGTCCTGCCTCTGTCTCCTGAGTAGCTGGGACTACAGGCATGTGCCACCACCCTCGGCTAATTGTGTATTTTTAGTAGAGACGGGGTTTCACCATGTTGGTCAGGCTGGTCTCGAACTCCTGACCTCAAGTGATCCACCTGCCTCGGCCTCCCAAACTGCTGGGACTACAGGCATGAGCCACTGTGTTCAGTCTATTTTGTATTTTTTAATCTACCGCACTCTAAGAACACATATTTTAAATCAATTTGTACATTCAGTGCCTAGAACAAAACCAGCATTTTGTAGATTCCAAAGAATTATTTGTTGTATAAATGATGAATAACTTAAATAAGTTATTATTTACAACATCTATATACAAACAATATGTTACCTCAGAATACAGTGATAACTTTTGTTATGTATAAAATGATTTCTGTCTCAGTTAAAAAATATTTTTTGCATGAGTTATTGTCATATACAGATGCTCACATTGTTTTGTTTATATGAAAATGTTTGTAACTACTACGCGCATTTTTGCTACTTAAGCCTTTTGGTCTTGCTGCCATAGCAAATACTGTGCCTTTCAAGAAGATGAACCTGTTTTACTTCATTTTTTAGCAGATTTCTTAATGAAATATATACCATACTCTTTTGTTTAACACATAAGCAGACACCCTGTCAGAAGCAAAGAGACATCTACTCCACCATTACCACCCATCCCTCTACTAATGTGGCTGCTGAAGATGTTACCTAGAGCAGAGGACTTTGGGTTCAACCTAAGCACTTTATATCCTTTATTTTCAATTGGGTAGGAGATAAAATAATTCAGCAGCAATAAAAGTCACACTTCTTAAAGTTGCAGTCTCGCCAAGGCAACACAATGTAGCAGTCTCTCTTGTGAGGTATCACCTGGAGTTCTTCATCTCACCACCAAGGTGATTAAGGAACGGGGATACACGGGTGAGGTGGGAGTGAAAGTTTAATAAGCAAAAGGAGGAAGCTCTCTGCAGCAGACAAGGGCGTCCAAGTGGATTGCCGTTTTTACAGTTGAATCAAAAAGCTTTTATAAGAAACTCCTCTCAGCTATGTATAAAAAACTGTCTGCACAATTCCCTTTATATAACCAGCTGTGGGTATGTCTCTAGTCAAGCACAAAGTGGGCTTCTCTTGTTTATATAACTGTGGGTTTGTTTTAGGTAAGCTCCCCTCCTCCCTGTGCATGTTCCCACAGAGGCCACCATGTTTATGCCTGAAAAAGAGAGGAAAATTTTTCCTGGGAGCTTGCCAATTACACAAAGAACAGAAGGCTTCTGTGCTGGACCCTGCATGCTCATCTGTGCAGGGCTTACCTGTAGGTGCAGTAGTTGTGATTTTTCAGGCAGACAGCTTCCCTGAGAACCAGTCTCTTACTTGTTTACTCAACTAATTTTCCTTTCCTTCTCCCTCAACATTATGCAGCAAAACAGAGTACACTTCTCTTTCCCAGTAAATCAATGTTGGTACTCCACTCTGAATACTTGTATTATTGGATTTCTTAGAAAAAAATATTTGGGATCATAATTTAGATGCCATCAAACAATGAACAAAAATATGCTACTTCGTTTCCCTTCTCTTCTCTTGTTACCAGACAATAGCTAGTTTTCTTTTCTCTCCAACTCCTTTTTTCTGTGCTTCTACCTGATTTTTAAAAAAACCTCTACACATTTCCAATCTCAGTATAGCAGACATGAAATATGTGGTCAAACTATGTACATAGGAAGAGTTGAATTATATAATTATATTCAAGCATTTTAAAATAATTCCCCTTCAGTTTGTTTTGCAGTTATTTTACATAATCAAATGTCTTCTTGATATACGTCTCAACCCAGTGGCTGTCAAGCTCTGCTTTGTTTTCTAACTGCATCAGAATTATCCACAATTTTTTTTTTGAGACGGAGTCTCACTGTTGCCCAGGCTGGAGTGCAGTGGCATGATTTCAGCTCACTGTCGTCTCTGCCTCCCTGACTCAAGTGATTCTCCTGCCTCAGCCTCCCAAGTAGCTGGGACTACACGCGTGCACCACCATGCCTGGCTAATTTTTGTATTTTTAGTAGAGATGAGGTTTCACCATATTGGCCAGGCTGGTTTTGAATTCCTGACCTCAAGTGATCCACTGCCTGGGCCTCCCAAAGTAAGAATTATCTAAAATTCTTATGATAAATATGGATAAATCAGCACAACTCAAGATTTAAGAAATAAAAATTTCCAAGAGAAGAAACTCAGGAATATGCATTGAAAATGTCTCCCTCAGGTGATTCTGATGTGATATGTGGTCTGAGTTTAAAATGTAAGGAAAATTACCTTCCCTGCCCTCCAGTTGGCCCTTATGTCCAGATGTCCCTCTTTCCCTTTCTCATTGTGCTCTCTCCTTCTGTGCCTTTGTTCTATTCTCCCTCCACTTCTCATCCAGATGCCAAGCCCTCTTCCATCAATTGTCCTAAAACTCCAAATGGTCAGTTTTCTCTATACTTCCCTCTGTCCCATGAACAAGTTATGCAGGCAAATGTAGAAGTTAAGCTTGGACCAAGCTGAATCAAGAGCTGCAATTAAAGATTTCCCTAAGCCCAGAGGGGAGCAGCGAATACTTATAGGTGATTTTGGATTTCCTCTGATTGCATAAGGCTCTGGGTAACCTGATGCTATAGACCAAATGTTATTGTCCCCCTCAAATTCAAGGGTTGAAATCTAATTCCCTATGTGATGATATTTGGAGGTAGGGCCTTGGGGAATGATTAGATCATGAAGGTAGGGACCACATGAGTGGGATTAGTAGCCCCTATTGAAGGCACCATAGAGAGCTCCCTCATCCCTTCTGTCATGTGAGGACATGGTAGAAACATGGCTGTCTATGAATCACAAAGCAAGCCCACACCAGACTTGGAATCTGCTAACCACTTGATCTTGAATTTTGCCATCTCCAGAACTGAGAGAAAGAAATTTGTTTACAAGCTTCCTCATCTATGGCATTCTGTTTTGACCCCAGATTAGCTAAAAACACCAAAATACCAACTTGTACACCAAATTTTGGAAATGGATGCTAAAACTTTGATGGCAAAAGGTGACTGATCTGCCTGAGAAATGAACCTACATGATCCCTCTTTCCGCAAAGCTGGAGGGAGAGTCAACAAAAGCAAAAATAGGTCAAAGTCTTCTAAAAGCCATACCTGAAGGGTTTTCAATATCACTTGATCAGATGGCAATTTAATCACAGAAAAAAAACACAACAAAACATGCAACTATCAGAGGTTTTCAACATCGCCTCAAAAACACCATCTACAATATTAGGGAGGGAAAGAAGTCATGGAAGTTTCAAAAAGTCAAACTTTATTTCAGTGTTAATGGGAGAAATTTGAAATTCTTAGTTAAGCTATGAATAAATCCTTGGGCAGGTGCAGGCATGGAGATTCTGGGGTGAATCTGCTGAGTTTAAAAGCTTCCTTTGGAGATGCCCCTGGCCCCCTCCACCTGTCAAGAAGAGGCCATCCTATCTGCCTGTCAAGAAGAGGCCATCCTGGGCAGCACAGTAGAGGCAAATGGCCCAGATGCCTAGCTGAGGGCAAACCTCCATGCCTGGAGGAGGAGGTCGCCTCTGGGAGCAGGAGGACCTGCTGGAACCCCTGCTCACAGGCTCCTTTTCTTGCTCTCCAGCACCTCCTGCAGGCATGCAAATACCCCCAGCAGCAGTAGCAGCAGGCTCTTCAGCAGCAGGGCTGCTGCTCTGCTGAATGAGAGAAGTCCCTCTTCAGTGAGGCAGAGGAGCCCAGGTTGCACATCCTGGTCTCTGCCTCCATAGCTTCCACTGTGCCCAGGACTGGGAGCAGTGTGGGAGCTTCTGGCTGGAGCTGTGCTGGTCACCCCTCTCTACCACCTCTAGCTCCAGCCACACTTTCAGCTCCAGGGCTGAGGCCCGTGGCTCTACAGGAGGTGCCATGAAGTCAGGCAGCTCCTCACTGGGCTGGTCCTGGGCAGTCCCAGGGCAGCAGAAGGAGGGCTCTGGAGCTTCCTCTAGCTCCAGCGCTGTCCCTGGAGGGGAATCTGCCCCTGGTGCTGGCACTGGCTCAACAGCTGGCACTGGAAATAGCTGTATTTCTGCACCTGAAGCAGGAGCTGAAAAAGGAGAGAGGTCACCAATATCACTCGCTTTCCACTGGAATTTACAAACATGAAAACAACCTCATTGAATTTAAAGGAATTTCAGCCTGAAAACATTGTCCCTGGAAAGACTTCCAGACTGCAGGTGACCTCACCATGTGCCTGTGTCTCAATGAGCTCCAGAGGCTCCGGCTGGAAAAGGACAATGTGCAGATGTGGCCCTGGTGGGATCACTGGTGAGGCCTGGCCTGCTAGCTCCATCTGGGGCCTGATGTCTACCTGGTGACTCCTGTCCTGTGGTACCTGGTGGGGGGGGGTCGGGGGGGGCTTCTGCCAAATGGCCAGAGGCATCTGGGGTGAGGGATGAGCCTACAAGGGCGTCATCAGCAAAGAAAGGCTCTCACTCCTGCCATTCCTGAAGCCAGAGCCTGGAGATGTGGGGATGCAGCACAAGAACATCTTGCTCTCTTGAGCGTCTCCCACCAAGTGAGCTGGCTACGGGGCTAACTCTAGGATGTGGGTGCCTGGTTATCGGAATTCTTTTTTTTTTTTTTTTTTTTTTTTTTTTTTGAGACATAGTCTCATTCTGTTGGCCAGGCTGGAGTGCAGTGGCATGATCTCGGCTCAGTGCAACATCTGCCTACTGGGTTCAATCACTTCTCCTGCCTCTGTCTGCTGAGTAGCTGGGATTACAGACATGAGACACACAGCACCACACCTGACTAGTTTTTTTGTGTTTGTTTGTTTTCGTTTTTTTTTTTTTTCTGAGACAGAGTCTCGCTCTGTCGCCCAGGCTGGATGGAGTGCAGTGGCGAGATCTTGGCTCACTGCAAGCTCCGCGTCCCGGGTTCATGCCATTCTCCTGCCTCAGCCTCCCGAGTAGCTGGGACTACTGGCACCCACCACTACGCTCGGATACTTTTTGTATTTTTAGTAGAGACGGGGTTTCACTGTGTTAGCCAGGATGGTCTCGATTTGCTGACCTTGTTTGTTTTTTGTATTTTTAGCAGACATGTGGTTTTACCATGTTGGTCAGGCTGGTCTTGATCTCCTGATTTCATGATCCTCCTGCCTCAGCCTCCCAAAGTGCTGGGATTACAGGTGTGAGCCAATGTGCCTGGCCTGGTTACCAGAATTCTTAGTTCTGTTAGGGTCTGTTGGCAAGGAAGTGAGGTCGCTTCTTTAAGTTTCCATCCCCTCGGCCTCCTCCTTCCAGAAAACCTTCTCAGGACCCCAGTGGGCTGCTGACTGCTCACCCTCCCCACAGGTCAACTCCTTACCTGTACACAGTTATGTCCACCCAGGACCTGCTTGGACAACTGCACCTGATGTTCACCAGGGGCCTAGGAATCCACTTGCAGCCTGGGATCCTACAGGGGCCTAATGTTACCCTGCAGATTGGGTAGCCACTTGGAGATCAGGTATCAACCTGGGGACTGTGGTTGACCTGCAGGCTAATGTCCACCTGGGGACTGGTTATTCACCTGAGGCCTGATGCGCACCTGGGGCCGAATGTCCCCCTCAGGGTGAATTCCACCTCAGGCCTGTATGTCCACCTGGGGCCTGATGTCTGCCTTAGATCTGTGTCCCACTGGGGCCTTGTGTTCACCGGGGACTGGTATCCAGCTGTGGCCTGATGATCTACCGCATCCTGTTGCTCACCTATGGGCTGGTGTCTACCTGGGGCTTGGTGATCACCTGGGAGCTGGATATCAACTTGGGGCCTGGGTGTCCACTTAAGGCCTGATGTGGGCCTGGGGCCTGATTGCCCACCCGGGGACTGGGTGTCCACCTGGGGTCTGATGTCCACCTGAAGTTAGGTATCTACCTAAGGCTTGGTGTCTACCTGTGGCCTGATGTCCACATGAGTCTGGGGTTCAGTTGGGGCCTGCTGTACATGTGGGACCTTGGTGTCTATCTGAGTCCTGATGGCTACCTGGTGACTGCCATCCTCTTGAGGCCTGATATCCACCTGGGAATGGTTTATCCATGGAAACGGTTATGTCCACCTGGGGCTGGATGTCGCCCAATGGCTAGATGTCCACCTGTGGCCCCGTGTCCACCTAGTGCCTGATGTCCACCTGGGGCATGGTTTTCACCTGAGACCCGGGTGTTTACATAGGACCTGATGTCCAGCTGGTGCCTAGGTGCCCACCGGGGGCCTTGTGTTAACCTGGGGACTGGTATCCAGCTCGGTCCTAATGAACACCTGGGTTGAATTATTCACCTAGAATTTGGTATTCATTTAGGGCTTGAGTGTCAGCCTTGGACCTGGTGTCCACCTGGGCCTTGGGTATCAAACTAGGGATTTGGTGTCCAGTTGAGACATCATGTGCACCTGGGGTCTGAGTGTTCACATGAGGCCAGATGACCACTGGGGGCCTGAATGTCAACCTGGTGTCAAATTCACTGGGAGCCTAGGTATCCACCTGGGGCCTGATGTCCACCTGGGACTAGGTGTCAACGTGTGGCCTGATGTAAACCTCTAGTTCAGTGTTCACCTTGGGCCTGATGTCCACTGGAGGACTGATGTTCCCCTTTGATCTGATGTCCACCTGGAAACCGTGTATTCACCCATGGCCTGATGGTCACCTGGGGTTGAATGTCCAACTGTGGCCAGATGTGCACCCGGAACCTGGGCATCCACCTGGGGCCTGATGTTTAGCTGGGGCCTGGAGTTCACCTGAGGCATGATGTCCACCTGAAGCTTAATGTTCATCTGAGTGCTGGATGTTCACCTGGCGCCTGATGTCCACCTGGAGCCTGAGGACCCTTCTCAGGCCTGATGTCCACAATTGGCCTGGTATTCATCTGGGGCCTTTGTGTTAATGTGGCCTAATGTACTCCTGGGTTCTAGGGTCCTCTTGGGACCTGATGTCTACCAGGATCCTGGTATCCACCTGGGGCCTGGTATCCACCTAGGGCTTGATATTCACCTGGGGCCTGGGAATCCACTTGATAACTGGTGCCCATCGCGGTCCTGATGTTCACCTTGGGACTGGGTAACCACCTGAGGCCTGATGTCCACTTAGGGCATAAGTGTTTATCTGGGGTCTAGTGTTCACATGGGGCCTGATGTCAACCTTGAGCTTAGGTATTCACAAGAGGACTAGTGTCCAGCTGGGGCCAGATGTTCACTTGGGGCCTGGTGTCAACTTGAAGCATGGTTGTCAACCTGGGACCTGATGTCCAGTCCAGTGTCCGCCTTGGGACTGTTTTCTACCCAGGGCCTGTGTGTCCACATAGACCCTCGTGTCAATGTGGGGCCTGGGTATTTACCAGGGGCCTGGATATTCATTGGTACATTATGTCTACTGGGGTCTTTGTGTCAATCTGAGCTCTGATGTCCACCTAGAGATTGGGTATCCACCTAAGGCCCGGTGTTTACATGGGGCCTGTAACACGAGGTTCCAGATGAACTCAGATGTCCACCTGAGGCCTCATGTCCACCTGAGTTCTGAGTGTTCACATAGGGCCTGCTGTCAACTTGGAACCTAAGTATTTACCTAGGGCCTGGGTGTCCACCTGGGGCCTGACTTCCAACTGGATCTTGTGTCAACATGGGGCCTGATGTCCACTTTGGGCCTAGGTAACTTCCTGACGACTAATGCCCACATGGCTCCGAAGGACCATCTGAGGCCTGGTATTAATTTAGAGACTGGTATCCACCTGGGATCCAGGTATCCACTTGGGACCTGATGTTCACCTGGAGTGTAGGAATTCACGTGGGGCCTGGTGTCCACCTTGAGTGTGTGTATCCAACTGAGTGCTGGTGTCCACCTGGAGTCCAGTGTATACCTGGGACCTGATGTACATATGGGACCTGGGCATCCATCTAGGACCTGATGTTCACATAAGGGCTGGCATTCTCCTGGCCTGGTTCCCATATGGAGCCTGGGCGTACACTTGGAGCCTGATGTCCCAGGTGGATCGCTGGGCCCCAGTTGTCATCAGATCCTAGGAAACTCTCAGGCCCCAGGTGCACATAAAGCTCCAAGTGGCCACCTAGGCCACAGGTTGATACACAGGGTCCAGGTGGACACTGGGTGCAAGATGAACACCAGGTCTCTGGTGAACGCCAAGCCTCAGGTGTCTACCTAGTCCTCAAGTGAACACCAGGCACTAGATTGACACACAGGTACCAGGTGGATATCAGGCCACAGGTGAACACCAGGCCCCAGGTGGTTGGGTTACTTATAGCATAGGTGGCCATCAGGTCCCAGGTCTATAGCCACTCCCCACCTGAAAATCAGGATCCAGGTGGATACCCATGTCCTAGGTGAACACCAGGTTCCAAATGAACATCAGGCTCCAAGTGAACACACAGGCCCCAGTTCAATACCAGCCTCAGGTAGACATCAGGACCCAGGTGGACCCCAGGCCCAATGTGCATGCCTAGTCTCTTGGAATACATCATTTTCAAGGTGGACACCCAGATTCCTGGTAGACCTCTGGTGCCAGGTGGATATCTGGCTGCAGGTGGACATCAGGCCCCAGGTGGAGACCCAGTACACAGGTGTAAATCAGGCTCCAGTATTTCATCAGGCCCCAATTAAACACCTGACTAAAGGTGTGCATCAAGACCCAGGTTGACACCCAGGCTTCAGGTGCACACTAGGCCCAAAGTGTACACCCATGCCCAGGTGGGCATCAGGCCCAAGGTGTACACCAGACCCCAAGTGGACATCAGGTTCCAGGTTGACACCAGTCTCTAGGTAGATCCTTAAGCCCCAATTGGTCATCAGGCCCAAGGTGGATACCTTGACCCCAGGGGGTCACTAGGTCCCAGGCAGGCCTCAGGTGGACACTAAGCCCTAGGTTAACACAAGGTGTGAGCTGGTTTCAGCCCCCATGTGGGCTTTAGTCATAAGGAGCTTACCTAGGCCCTAAGTGGACATCAGGTCCCAGGTTGACACAATGAACCATGTAGAAGTCAGGCTCTAAGTAGACACCCAGGCCCTAGGTAAATACTTTGGTCCCAAGCCATCATCAGGCCCTATGTGGACACCCAGACTCTAGGCAGATGTCAGGCCCCAGGTGAACACTGAACTCAGGGTGGTCTTCAGGCCCTAGGTTGACACATAGGCCTCAGGTAGACAACAGGCATAGGTGAACTTCAGGCTCCAGATGAATGTCGGGCTCCAGGAAGAAGTCTGTGCCCCACTTAAACACCGGGTCTTAGGTAGACATCAGGCCTCAAATGGATGCCCAGGCCCCAGGTGGATATCAGGCCTCAGGCAAACACCAGGCCCCAGGTAGACATTAGACACGAGATGGACACTCAGGCCACAAGTGAACATCTGTCCCCAGGTGGACATCCATCCCAAGGTGGACATCAGGCCAGAGATGTACACCCAGGCCCCAGGAGAACCCCAGGCCCCAGGAGGACACTCAAGGGTCAGAAGGACACCCAGTCCCTAGGTAACTACAAGGCCTCAAATGGACATGATGTTCCAGATGGATATGAGGCCCCAAGTGGATACTAGGCCCAGGTGGACCCCAGGTCTGAGGGGTACACCAGGTCCCAGAGGAACACCAGACCCTAGGTAAGCATGCAGTCCCAGGTGGACATCAGGTTCCAGGAGGACACCAGGACCCAGTTGGTCATCAATCCACAGTTGAACACCAGTTCCCCAAGAACACCAGTCCTCAGGTGGGCACCTAGTCCTCTCGTGTGCATCAGGTGCCAGGCTGACATAGGCAGCAGCTGAACTCTGGGCCTCAGGTGAACATCAGATCCCAGGTTGTCACCCAGGCCCCAGGTGAACACCAGGTTTTAGGTGAACACGAGGTCCTAGGTGGGTGTGTATGCTTCTGGTGAACCTCAGGCCCTAGTGGACACTCAGGCCCTTTATAGACATCTGGCTCCATGTGCACTCCCAGGGCCCAGGTAGACATGAGGCCCCAGAGGAACACCAGTCCTTAGTCACCTAAGACTGAATTCCCCTAGGGCTGGAGACTGAGTATTCACCTTGGGCCTAGGAATCTACCTGGGGCCAGATGTCAATCTGGGGCCTGAAGTCTACTCAGGTTCAGCTGTCCACCTAGGGCGGGGTGTTTTTCTGGGACCCAGAGTCTACCTGAAATCTTAGTGTCAACCTGGGGCCTATGTGTCCACTTGGAGTCTGACGTGCACCTGAAGCCTGAGTTTTCACCTAGGATCTGATGAGCACCTGGGGCCCAGGTTTCCATCCGAAACATCAGGCTCTAGTTTTACATCTGGGCCCCAGGTATACACTAGACACCAAAAGAACTCCAGCCCCTATCTTAACATGAGGTCGTAGGTGGATGCCCAGGCCTCATGTCTACATTAGGCCTCAGGTAGACACGACTCCAGGTGGGCATCAGGCCTGATATTGGCTCTATGTCTCCACCCAAATCTCATGTTGAATTGTAATCCACATGGGTTGAAGAAGGGGCCTGGTGAGAGGTGATTGAATCATGGGGGCAGACTTCCCACTTGCTGTTCTCGTGATAGAGTTCTTATGAGATCTGTTTGTTTGAAAGTGTGTAGCACATCCCCCTTCTCTCTCCCTCCTCCTCCCCCATGGTAAAAAGGGCTTGCTTCCTCTTGGCTTTACATCATGATTGTAAGTGTCCCGAGCATGCCCAGTCATGCTCCCTATTAAGCCTGAAGAACTGTGGGTCAGTTAAACCTCTTTTCCTCATAGGTTGCCCAATATCAGGTAGTTTTTTATAACAGTGTGAAAATGGACTAATACAAGGTCTTAGGATAACAACCATGCTTCAGGCCATAGGTGGACATCTGGCTGCAACTGGATACTATTCCCCAGGTGGATACCTAGGCTCAAGGTTGACATTAGTCCCCAGGTAAACAACAAGCCCCAGGTGAATACCTATGCCCTAAGTAGACATCAGGCCTCAGGCTGACACTCAGTCTAACCTCAACATTAGGCTCCAGGTGGACACCCAGACTCCAGGTGGATACTAGACCCCAGGGGTACACCAGACTCCTGGTGGTCATAAGGCCCCACGAGGACACTAGAATCCAGGTGTACGTAAAGCCACTGGTTGACACCAAGCCCTCAGATGAACACCAGGCCAACTAGTGGACATTAGGCACATGAGAATACTTGGGCACCAAGCAGGTATCAGGTCCCGGGTAAACATCAAACTTCAGGTGGACATCATTCTCCATGTAAACTCTAGCCCCTGCTAAACATCAGGCTCTAGGTGGAAGCCCAGACCCCAGGTGCACTTCTGGCCACAGTTGAACATCTGTCCCCAGGTGAATATCAGACCATGGATGCATAGCAAGTCCCCAGGTGGACATCAGGTCAAAAGTGAATATAAGTCTCTAGGAAGACATCTGGCCCCAGGTGGATACTGAACTAGAGGTTTACATCGGGCCCCAGGTTGACAGCAAGGCCCAGGTAGACAGCAGGCCCCAAGTGAAGACCATGCCCAGGTGTATACTGAACTAGAGGTTTACATCAGACCCCAGATTGACATTCAGTCCCCAGGTGGTCATGACACCTCAATTGGACACCAAGTCCTCAGGTCGATACCCAAGTCCCAGGTGGACACCAGGTCAAAGATGAACACAAGACCTAAGGTTGACACTCAAGCCCTAAGTGTCACCAGGCCCTAGGTGAATAATATGACCCAGGGGATCATTAGGACCCAGCTGCATACCAGTCCCCAGGTTTACACGAGGCCCCCAGTAGGTTCCTAAGCTCTAGTTGGACATGAGGTCTCCAGTAGACACCCAGGACTGAGGCGGACATCAAGCATCAGATGGACGTCTGGCCGCGGATGAACATCAAGCCTCACATGGATACCTAGTCCCCAGGTAGTAGACATCAGGTCCCAGTTTGACATCAGTTTCTGGATAGATCCCTAAGCCCCAGGTGGATATCCAGTCTCCAGCTGAACATCAGCCCTTCGTGGACACCCAGGCCCCAGGTGGATATCAGGTCTCAAGTGAACACAAGTCCCCAGGCAGACATCAGGCACCAGGTACACACTCAGACCCCAAGAGGACAACTGTCCCCAGGTTGACATCACTCTCAAGGTGTACATTAGGCAACAGATGTACACCCAGGTCCAAGGCAGACACGAGTCCCCAGTAAAACTCAAGGCCCCAGAAGGATACTCAAGCCCTAGGTGGATGCCCAGACCCCAGGTAATTACAAGGCCCCAGGTGGATATCAGATTCCAGATGAACATTAGGCCCCAAATGGATACCTAGGCACCAGGTAGACATCAGACCCCAGGTGCATCCCCCAGTCTCAGGTGCACACTAGGCCCCCAGTGAACACTGGCTCCAGGTGAGCACCCAGTCCAAGGTAGACACCATGACCCAGGTGGTCATTAGGCCACAGCTGAACACCAATCTTGAGGGAACACCAGATCCCAGGTGGGTACCTAGTCTCCAGGTGGATATTGGGCCCCAAGTGGACACCCAGCCCCCAGGTGAACATCAAGCTTCAGGTGGACATCATGCCTCAGGTGAACTCCGGGTCCCAGCCCAGCTGAACATCAGGCTGCAGGTGGATGCCTAGGTTCCAGGTGCACAACAGGTCACAGTTGGACATTCAGCCCCAGGTGAACATCAGGCCATGGGTGGATAAACAGTCCACAGGTGGACATCAGGTCAAAGGTGAACATCAGTACTCAGGTGGACATCAGGCTCCAGGTTGACATCAAGCCCAAGGTGGACACTGAACTAGAGGTTTACACCAGGCCCCAGGTTGACACCCAGGCTCAGGTGGACATTGGGCCCCAGGTGGATACCTAGGCCCCTAGTAAACCTCAGATTCTAGGTTGACATTCAGGCCCCCAGTAGTCATTTGGCCCCAAGTGGACACTCAGGCGCCAGGTTCACATGATGTCTTAACTGGACACCAAGGGGCCAGTTTGATACCCAAGTCCTATGTGGGTGCCAGGTCCAGGGTTACACTCAAGCCCCAAGTGGACACCAGGCCCTAGGTGAATAACACAACCCATGTGGTCATTAGGCCCCAGAATGACACCAGTCCCCAGGTTAACAGGAAGCCCCCAGTGGGCACCTATGCCCCAGCTGGACATCAGGCCTAAAGTGGACACCCAGGATCAAGATGGACATCAGTACTCAGGTGGACATCAGGCTCCAGGTTGACATCAAGCCCAAGGTGGACACTGAACTAGAGGTTTACACCAGGCCCCAGGTTGACACCCAGGCTCAGGTGGACATTGGGCCCCAGGTGGATACCTAGGCCCCTAGTAAACCTCAGATTCTAGGTTGACATTCAGGCCCCCAGTAGTCATTTGGCCCCAAGTGGACACTCAGGCACCAGGTTCACATGATGTCTTAACTGGACACCAAGGGGCCAGTTTGATACCCAAGTCCTATGTGGGTGCCAGGTCCAGGGTTACACTCAAGCCCCAAGTGGACACCAGGCCCTAGGTGAATAACACAACCCACGTGGTCATTAGGCCCCAGAATGACACCAGTCCCCAGGTTAACAGGAAGCCCCCAGTGGGAACCTATGCCCCAGCTGGACATCAGGCCTAAAGTGGACACCCAGGATCAAGATGGACATCAGGACTCAGGTGGACATCTGGTGACAGGTGGACATCAAGCTTGGTGTGTACCTTGTCCCCGGGTAGTCATCAGGCCCCAGTTCAACACCAGTCCCTGGGTGGATTCCTCGGCTCCAGGTGGACATCCGGTCTTCAGCTGAACATTAGACCCCAGGTGAACACCAGGTCTTAGGTGGACATTAGGCCCCTGGTGGACATAAAGTACCAGTGGACATCCATGTTGCAGGTGGACACCCAGCGCCCAGATGGGCATCAGGCCACATTTGGACATTGAGGCCCCAGGTGGATATCAGGCCTCAGGTGAACCCTAGGTCCAACATAGACATCAGGCCTTAGGTCGACACTCAAGCACCAGATGGACTGCTGCACCTAAGTAGAAAACAGACCCCTATCTGGATATCTAAGATACAGGTATACAACAAGCCCCAGGCTGACATCCAGACCCCAGGTGGACACCATAGCCCAGGTGAACAGCAGGCAACAGTTTGGCACCAAGTACCTAAGTGAAACAAAGCCTTAGGTGATTACCAGGCCATAGGTAGTCATTAGTCTCCAGCTGGACAATAGTCCCTAGGTGGATACCTAGGCCCCAGGTGGACACTAGACCCCAGATTAACACAAAAACCAAGTAAAAAAAAACCCCAAGTGGAAAACCAGTCCCTAGGTAAATACACAAATCTCAAGCTGACACCAGGCCCTATTTGGACACCCAAGCCCTAGGTGGACTTCAGGCCCCAGGTGAACACTGAACTCTAGAAAGTCTTCAGGCCCTGTGTTGACTACCTGGCCCCAGGGGGACACCAGGCATTCATGAACTTCAGGCACCAGCTGTACATCAGGTTCCAGACAAATGTCCAGGCCCCAGGTGGATATCAAACCTCAGATGAACACCAGGCCCCAGGTAGACATCACAAACCAGGTGGACACTCAGGCCCCTACTGAATATCTGTCCCCAGGTGGACATCCATCCCAAGGGGAACATCAGGCCACAGATGTACACTTAAGCCTAAGGCAGACCCCAGGCCCCAGGAAAACTCCAGGCTCCATGAGGGCACTCAGACCCCAGGTGGATGCATTGGTCCTAGGTAAACACATGGCCCCAGGTAAGACATCAGGCTGCAGTGAACACGGGAGCCCAGGTGGGTACCTAGTCCCCAGGTGTGCATCAGGCAGAAGGTTGACCCAGTCCCCAGCTGAACTCTGGGCCCCAGCTGAACGTCATAACCCAGATGGTCACCCAGGCTCCAGGTGAACACATAGTCTTAGGTGGACATCAGGCCCCACATGAACACCCAAGCCCCAGGTAGAGATCAGGCCTTAGGTTTACACCAAACCTCAGGTGGGCATCTGGCTCCAGATGGCCATAGGTGGATAACTAAGCCTCTCCTGGATATCAGGCCCCAGGTAGACACCAGGCTCCAGGCGAACATCTAGCCCCAGGGGGACATCCAGCCCCTGGTGGACATCAGGGCTCGCATGGATAAGCAGTTTACAGATGGACACCTGCCACAGGTGCCTCACCTCTACTCCCTGAAACCTCACTTCCCCTCATGGGCCTTCTGTCCGACTTGGGGTATCCCTAGCCACCCTAGGCGCACACTGGACTCGAAACAGGGACGCCAGGGTCCCTGGGGCTCAACGCAAGGGTTCATGGGAATACACTTTCGTCCGTGGGAGACCCAGTCCCCGGTTCTCGGCGGTGCAGTTCTTTTTTTTTTTCTCTGCCCCAGGTGCCTCACCTTCCCCTCATGGGCCTTCTGTCCACCTTGGGGTACCCCTAGCGGCCCGAGGCACACCCTGGGCTCGAACCAGGGATGCCAGGGTCCCCGGGGCACAGCGCAAGGGCTGATGGGGAGACACTTTCTTCCGTGGGGGACCCAGGCCCCGCTTCTCCGAGGCGTGTTTTTTTTTTCCTCTGCCCCAGGTGGGTCACCTTCCCCTCATGGGCCTTCTGCCCGCTTTGGGGTACCCCTAGCGGCCCCAGGCAGGTGTTGGGCTCGAATAAGGGTCGCCGGGGACCCCGGGGCCCAGCGCAAGGGTCGATGGGAAGACACTTTCACTGGTGGGGGACCAAGGTCCCGCTTCTCCGCAGCGCGGTTTTTTTTTTGTTTTTTTTTTTGTTTGTTTTTTTTCTGCCCCAGGTGATTCACCTTTCCCTCATGGGCCTTCTGCCCGCTTTGGGTAACCCCTAGCAGGCCAGAGGCGCACCCTGGATTCGAGCCAGGGATGACAGGGTCCCCGGGGCCCAGCGCAGGGGCTGATGAGAAGGCACTTTCGTCCGTGGGAGACCCTGGCCCTGCTTCTCTGTGGCGCGGTTTGTTTTTTTTTTTCTTTTCTGCCACAGGTGCCTTACCTCTCCTCCCTCAAACCTCACCTTCCCCTCATAGGCTTTCTGCCCACCATGGGGTACCCCAAGAGGCCTGAAGTGCACCCTGGTCTTGAACCAGGGATGTCAGGGTCCCCTGGGCCCAGCTCAGGGGCTGATGGGAAGACACTTTTGTCCGTGGGGGACACAGGCCCCGCTTCTCCGCGGCAGGGTTTTTTTTTTTTTTTTTTTTTCTCTGCCCTCTCCGCGGCGTGGTGTTTTTTATTTTTTTCTGCCACAGTTGCTTCACCTCTCCTCCCTCAAACCTCACCTTCCCCTCATGGGCGTTCTGTCAGACTTGGGTTACCCCTAGTGGCCAGACGCACACCCTGGGTTCGAAACTGGGACACCAGGTTCCCTGGGGCCCAGCGCAAGGGCTGATGGGAAGACACTTTCTTCCTTGGGGACCCAGGCTCTGCTTCTCTGCGGTGATTTTTTGTTGTTGTTCTTTTGTTGTTTTTTTTTTTTTTTGCTTTTCCCCAGGTGCCTCACCTTTCCCTCATGGGCTTTCTGCCCGCCTTGAGATACCCCTAGCGGTCCAGAGGCGCACCCTGGTTTCGAGCCAGGGACGCTAGGGTCTCTGGGGCCCAGTGTAGGGCTGATGGGTAGGGACGTTGGTCCGTGGGGGACCCAGGCGCCACTTCTGGGCGCCGCAGTTTTTTATTTTTTTTCTCTGCCCCAGGTGTCTCACCTTTCCCTCATCGGCCTTCCGTCTGCCTTGGGGTACCCTTAGCAGGCCGAGGCGCACCCTGGGCTCGAGCCAGGGATACCAGGGTCCCCGGGGTGCAGCGCAAGCGCTGATGGGAAGACAGTTTCTTCTGTAGGGGACCCAGGCCCCGCTTATCTGCGGCGCGGTTGTTGGTTTTTTTCTCTGCCCCAGGTGCGTCACCTTCCCCTCATGGGCCTTCTGTCCGCTTTTCGGTACCCCTAGCGGCCTGAAGCGCACCCTGGTCTCGAACCAGGAACGCCAGGGTCCCCTGGGCCCAGCGCAAGGGCTAATGGGAAGACACTTTCGTCCGTTGGGGACCCAGGCTCCGCTTCTCCGTGGTGCGGTTTTTTTTTTTTTTTCTGCCCCGGGTGCCTCACCTCACCTTCCTCAAACCTCAACTGCCCCTCATGGGATTTCTGCCCGTCTTGGGGTACCCCTAGCGGGCCCAAGGCGCACCCGGGGCTCGAACCAGGGTCCACAGGGCCCAGCGCAGGGGTTGATGGGAAGGCATTTTCCTCCGTGGGGGACCCAGGCCCAGCTTCTCCTAGGCGCGGCTTTTTTTTGTTGTTTTGTTTTGTTTTGTTTTGTTTTGTTTTCTGCCACAGATGCCTCACCTCTCCTCTCTCAAACGTTAACTTCCCATCATGGGCTTTCTGTCCGACTTGGGGTATTCCTAGCGGCCCAAGGCGCTCCCTTGACTCGAACCATGGACGCCAGGGTCGCCGGGGCCCAGCGCAGGGGCTGATGGGAAGGTACCTTCGTCCGTGGGTACCCAGGCCCCGCTTCTCTAAGGTGCGTTTTTTTTTTTCTCTCTGCCCCAGGTCCCTCACCTTCCCCTCATTGGCCTTCTGCCCTCCTTGGGGTACCCCTATCAGGCCCGAGGCACACACTGTGCTCGAAACAGTGTTGCCAGTGTCCACGGGGCCCAGCGCAGGGGCTGATGGGAAGGCATTTTCGTGCATGGGGGACACAGGCCCCCCCTTCTCCGTGGCGCTTTTTTTTTTTTCCTGCCACAGGTGCCTCACCTATCCTCCCTCAAACCTCACCTTCCCCTCATGGGCCTTTTGTCCGCCTTGAGGTACCCCTAGCGGCCTGAGGCGCATCCTGGGGTGGAACCAGGGACGCCAGGGTCCACTGGGCCCAGCGAAGGGGCTGATGGGAAGGCACTTTCGTCTGTGAGGGACCCAGGCCCCACTCCTCTGCACGCGAGGTTTTTGTTTTGTTTTTTTTTTTTCTCTGCCCCAGGTGCCTCACCAGCTACTTGGGAGGCTGAGTCAGGAGAATTGCTTGAGTCTGGGAAACCGAGGTTGCAGTGAGTCAAGAGATCACAGCACTGCACTCCAGCCTGGACAAAAGAGTAAGAGTCCATCTTAAATAAATAAAGAAAGAAACTAAAGACGTAATAGGCATCACTGAAAAAGTTGGAATTAGTTAATACAGGGAAACATTAGGATGAATGATATAAAAGAACTAAAATCAAAATGAAAATAAGTATGCTGACTCCTCACACTCTCTTTTATCTCCATGATGAAATAAATACAATTTAAATACCAAGATATGATATACATATTAAATGAGTTTTGAGGAAGGACAGTAAAAAGTAACCATGCATCTTGTATTAATGAACCAGATAACCTATGACATATGGTTTTAGCAGTAAGATTTGATAATATATGTATTTCATATTATTTCATAAGAAAAATTATACATGGATTTTTCTAGTGGCTACTTCATCTCCCACTTCTTTTCATAGTACTGACTAGATTTTAAATTACTGATCATAATGTGTCTTAGTTCACTGAGATGATAAATAGCAAAACATTTCGAATTTAAATAAAGGAAAGAAATTTTAAGTTTGATTTTTCCACTAAGCTGAGCTACCTTCCAATTAGATTATTTGAGATCTCACAAACAAAATAGTATCACAGCAGGACATAACCTCAGGATTCCTTTTCACATCAAAGTTTTTTACTTTCAAAACTCCAACCTTTACACTATATTGATATAAACGGCGGCAAGACCCGTAGACGGGAGGTAATGTTATAAATGTACAAATTCCTTATCTATATTTAGATTTATACTTTACATAAAGATGTTCCCAAAACAGAAATAATATTATTAGAAATACTAAAATTGAATTTCATCAATACCTAATTTAGATAATAATTATGAGAAAAAGCATGTATTACACTTCATTGTACCTTAAATTTTTCCCATACCTTCATTCACTAGATTCACCATCAATTCAAAATTAGATAACCCATGAAGGAGCTCATGTATATGTATATATACTGATGAAGCACTACTATGTTACTTTTGGAATAAAAATTAATGCTTATCTATATAACTTGCCCATTAAAATCCCCAAGCATGGCAATGTGTATAGTCAAAATAGCTACTAGAGTTCATTTTTAAATTCTTGTATATATAATTCTAAGATATAACAGTAAATTAGAGTCTGGCACATAAGGTTTCTTTAAATAAAAGAGAAGCTATAAAAATGCATATGAAATTACACTCATTAGAAGAGATTTAATTTTTACATAAACTTGGATTTGCCACTAGTTAGATTTGAGTCCTCAAACATAAACTATATATAAATAAGGGTTGATGTCAATTAATATTATGCTAGACTTATGCCACGACAAAAGCATCATAAAATAATACCAGTCTTTATGATATAAATTATGTAATTGCTAATAAATATTATTCTTCTGAATAATTTTACCCTAGTAATTTTCTTCAACCTGACAGGGTTTCATGGACAATTCGAACCATGAGTATATGCAAATGATAAGGTCAGGATTCATATTTTACCTCAACATAGTATATTATAATCACTATGCTATCTTTGTTAAGGATTTTCTATTTATTGTCACAAAAGGCATTCCTTTATAGTATAACAACCTAAATGTCAGGGTTTTCTTTATTTATTGTATAAATATCTATCTGCATTAGTTCTAAAAAATGTATTAGCACTTTAAGGGCAGAACCCAAATACTGTAATACATTTACACAGCACTGAGTACATCATGTATAGTCTAAGTGTGTATAAAATACCAGCAATTGTACATGTAAAGAAAACTTACCAGACAGTTGTTTCCACTTGACTGTCATTGAGCTGCCAATTATCCAACTGGGGAAACAGTGGAAAAAGCACTTGAATCTGTCCAATTGAATGAATTGCACTATGAATTGAATGTGTTACTATCCCTTTCACATCCTATGTCTAAAAACAAAAATGTTTATTAAACTTCTATAGAATGATTTTCATCACTATTTCCTTGGTCCAAATACGTTTATAAGGGAATTAAATAACATAGTTGGAAATTTTTTAAGCCCTCAATTATAATTTTTATACACATGTAAGACAAAAAAGTGAGTACCTTTGCTAATCACTTTTAAATTTCAAATCTTAGGTCAACCTAAGATTTTTTTTTACACTAAAAATATGAAGTTAAAATCAAATGTTATTTTAAAATCAGAAATACTATTGATGGATTTAAAGACAAGTAATTTTAATGTTACAGAATATTAGTAATACAATCTTAAAGCAAAGTATGTTTTTATGTCTAACAACTAACTTATTCAGTTAATTGATTTAATTTGAAAGGCTGTATAATATATAAGATAATAGGTATGACAGATTTCCTACTAAGGAGACAAGGCCAGGGTAGAGCATATTGCTACAGAAAAGATAGACATTCTTTAAAGTTTCACTTAAAAGATCTGCAAAAGCCAAAAAGAAACAAAAAGTCACAGATTTATAGATGAGCAATGTTTGATATATAAAATAAAAATATTGTTAAATTCTGACAAGAACATGAAAACAAAGCCATGATTCACCCACCGGAAGCATTAGAGCATGTTGGGAATGCACAAAAATTGATGCATCCTCTTTTGGTGATGATTCCAGGCAGAGTTGAGTATCAGTGGCCCTAGCAATTATATGTAAAGGCAATGCTACTTGCAAGTTTCCCATCATATAAAACCTGTTTATGATGTTCTGCCAAATGAATATCACTCTTAGATTTAAACTTGAAGGTACTCTGAAAAAATAAAACTAAGGTAAACCCTGTTTTTAAAAGCAACAATTAAAAAGCCAAAGTTTTAAAGCAGAGAAACATTTGCAATAAGAAAGTACTTGTGTACCTTTCATGTGTCAGGGACTATTCAGTGGTGTTACTTACTTCGTTATAGTCACTTCAATTCAATGAGAGTTAAGTTTTATTATGCCAATAAAGATGCTCAGATCTTCATTTTCTAATTTAAAGTTTTTGATTACTGGCAAAATCATTTCATTAGAAAAAAATATCAAACCTGATTTTATATATAATAGGATTGTACTTGACTACATCATAGCATAAGTTTAACTTTTCTTGTTAATATTTTAAAAAGTATTTATGTAAATAAACAGTGCCTGACATGTGAATTACTTACAAAAAAGACTATCATTTGAGGCTATAAAAAGTTAATATGCAAAAATATTCATATCTTTACTAAAAAGCAAATCAACCTATGAAATACCAATGCTACTCAACAATAATATCACAATATACATACTAAACTCAGAAGATAAGTTTGTTAAAACATGTTATTACTTTTTATGAAAGACAACTAAACATATGCCATCTATAACAAGAAAGGTATTGTTAGACGTGGTTAAAATTGCTCTGCAGATATGAGTCTAATAATGATAAATGATATTTAACCTTTGCAGTCATCACATATCAATATTACTATTACTTTCAACTTACAACTATGAAAGCTTAATGTTAAGAAATTAAGATTTAGAAGGGAAGGGGCCAGCATGTAATTCTAAGTCTTTTGATTTATAGTCCATATTCAATGTATCACTAGTGAAATCATCTTAAAATCCTGACTCTGCCACTAATCTTTCTCAGCTTAGGAAGTCATTTAGCTGATGTGGCTCCAGTTTTCTCACTCAATGTTATAATAGGGTTAAATCAAATGTCCCAAACTCAAGTTCTTACAGGAGGCACACAGATATGCATGTAAGCGAATTTGGCCAGATGGGGACTTCCTCAAACTAGAGAATGTTTGTCCTTCCTAAAAGTGGCCCCTACTCCTCAGTTCAAGTCAATTGTTCAGTGTTGCTAGTTCTTCCATATTTTTCAAGAGAAACATGAAATCCGAATTTTTATCTAAAAGCACTATATTTTACAATTTAATTAAAACATTTTAACACTGTGAAGACCAATCATGTCAGTTTTTACTTCTGGACTAGTGTGTAGAGACTAATACAAAACTGGATGCAAACTATTAATTATTAGGCATGTGCCAAGACAAGAGCAACATGAATAATTAAAAATTTGTGTATGCTGTAGTCTGAAGTATTTCATTGATAATACTTTTTTTTTGAACGAGGAGGGTAGTGTTATCACTAGAATGCTTAAGAACTCAGCATATCTGCATTCAAAAAAACAATGACTGAATTAAAACACACAAGATATGTTGTTAAACACTAAATCAGCTTTCTGTGTCTGCATTTTACAAATGCTGAAACATTTGTACATCCCATTGTCTAGAACAAAACTCCTGCTTTCATTTTGTTCATCTTGCTTACACTGGAATTAACAAGTTTTAATATATTATCTTAAAAGATTTAAAATACTTTTGTGGAAATGTAAGATGTTTAATAAAACCTATTCTTATTTGGAAATACATTGGTCTTAGTTTTTCTGAGTCCATGATACATAACATACCCTATTTTGGTTTGTAGGAGGAAAACAAGTTTATGTAATGAAATCTAACACTTTCAGGTTAAAAAAGTGTATAATGTAATTTAAATATAAACATGGAATCCATTAAATAAAACTAATTTTCTTATCTCCCCTTATTTGTAGTATTAGATTATTTCTATGTCTTTAAGTTTATATATAAAGGCAGACATGCACAATGGCACACACCTGTAATCTTAGCACTTTGAGAGGCCAAGGTGGGGGACCACTTGAGGCCAGGAGTTTGAGATCAACCTGGGCAACACAGAGAGAGACCCCATCTCTACCAAAAAATTAAAAATTAGCCGAGTGTGGTGTCACATGCCTGTAGTCCCAGCTCTTCAGGAGGTGAAGTGGAAGGATCACTGAGCCCAGGATTTTGAGGCCACAATGAGTCATGATCATACCACTGCACTCCACCCTGGGTGACACAGTGAGACCCTGACTTTAAAAAACATTTAAAAAGAAAAAATTTTACATAAAAATATAAGCCTTTATATAAATATCAATATTTATTGTATTATTTCTTTCAAAAGGATTTTCAGAGGAAGAATTGTTATCTAAAACTGTATGAATAGGACACGGATGAGAATGAGGAGTGATTGCAAATAGGTAGGTAGGATCCTTCTGGGGTGATAGAAATGTTCTAAAATTAAATTGTAGTGATATCTGCACAACTTTGTAAGTTTATAAAAAATAATTGACTTGTACACTTAATGAGTTGTATGGCATGTAAATTACACTTCATTAAAACTGTTATAATTATTTTAAAAGAAGAAAAGAAGGTATGAATATATTTTGTACCAATTATACTCAAATGAGTAGAGTATTATGCATGCTTTTCAATACGGACCACTTCAGCATAACAAAGAAGGTGGATGGAAGCAAAGTTATACTGAGCTAAGGAAATGACTCCAAGTGGTAACTGAATCCGCAGAAACAAATGAAGAGATTCATAAATGATAAATCAGAAGATCAATATAATAAAATCTACAAACATATACTGTATCGCCTTTCTTCTCTCAGCTTCTTTAAAATACACAATTATAGGAAGTAATAATTATGTCATGTTGGGTTCGTAACATATACAGATACTATATGTGTAACAATGTCACAAAAAATGGAGAAAACAAATAGAGCTATATAGAAGTAACATTTATATAACTCACTAGGATAAAATTAGTATAAATCTGAGGCTGATTCCAGTGAGTTAAGATGTATATGGTAAGCCCTAGTGCAATCACTAAGGAAATGTTTTTTTCAGTGAAAAAAAATTATTTAAAAATTGAAAATGCTATATAAGAAAATAAGCACATAATCCAAAGAAAGTGGTAAAGAAGAAATAAAGAAATAAAAAGAACATGAGACACATAGCTAACAAAAAGTAAAATGACACATGGAAACCTATCAATAAACACATTAAAGATCAATGAAATAACCAATCCAATCAAAAGGCAGAGATTGTCAGACTGGATAATAAAGTAAGATTCAATAACATACTGTTTATAGAATATTCAAAGATAAAAACATATTTAAAGTAAATTAAATGGGAAAAATATCAATAAATCACAAGAAAGCTGGAATGGCTGTGCTAATATCAGACAAAACAGACTTTAAAACAAGATATATTACTAGATATTAAAAAGACATTGGATAATGATAAAAGGGCCAATCATGAGGAGGATATAGCAATTGTAAACATATATGCACCTAACAGCAGAGTGTCAAAATACATGAAGCAACATCTGAAGAAATGAAGGGAGAAATAGACAAGTTAACAATAATAGTTGGGCACTTCAATACTCAACTTTCCATTCATTAAATCAAGAAGGAAACTGAAGACTTGAACAAAAACCAAACAGAACTAACAGACAACTCTAGAACACACCATCCCAAAGCAGCAGAATACACATTCTTCTAAAGTACACATAGCTGGGCTCAGTGGCTTATGCCTGTAATCCCAACACTTTGGGAGGCTGAGGTAGGAGGATCACTTGAGGCCAGGAGTTCAAAACTAGCCTGAGCTAGCAAGACCCTGTTTCTGTAAAAAACTGAAAAATTAGTCAGACACAGTAGCTTGTGCCTATAGTCCCAGATACTCAGGAGGCTGAGGCAGGAGGATCACTTGAGCCCAGGAGTCTAAGGCTCCAGTGTGCTAGGACTGCACCACTGCACTCCAGCTTAGGTGACAGAAGGAGAGACCCTGTTTCCAAAAAATATGTACACACAAAACATTCTCCTGGATGGACCAAACTCAGGTCATAAAATAAACCTCAATAAATGTATGAAGACAGATATAATACAAAGTATATGATCTGTCCAAACTGGAATGTTAGAAACCAATAGTATATGGGAATTTGAGGAATTCACAAATATGTGGAAATAAACACATTCCTAAATAACCGATGTGTCAAAGAAGAAATAATCAAAAGGGAAGTTACAAAATATTTTGAGATGAACAAAGGCACAAATACCAAAATATAAGCAGTTAAGGCACTTAGAAACTTATACGTGTAAATGTTTGTATTTAAAAAGAGGACTTCAAATCAAGAACTAAACCTCCCACCTTATGACCCTGGAAGCAAAAAAGCAAACTAAACGTAAAACAAGCAGAAAGAAAAAAATAAAAAGAATTATAGAAGAACTTAATGAAATAGACAATAAGAAAACAACTGTGAAAACACAATAAAATCAAAAGCCAGTTCTTTGAAAAGATCAACACTACTAACAAGCCTGTACCTAGACTGATTAACATATTAATATTATTATCTCAACAGATACACAAAATGTCTTTGACAGAATCTAACACTTTTTATAAGAAGCATTGAACAAACTAGGAATAGAATGGAACTTCTAACTACCAAAAAAAAAGCATCTATAAAAAACCTACAGCCAACAACATAGTGCAATTTGTTGCAGGATGTCAGAGCATAAGAAGGGTAGGAAGGGTAGGTAGGAGAGCTGCCCAGTTCGTGAAGTCAGAATTCCAAAAAAGTGATAAGGCGTCTACCTGAAACAACAAGGAAGAGGCAAGTGGGTTGTGCTTTGACATAAAGTTTCTGAGTATGTGCAAGGTAAGGAAGGTTAGGTACACTAAAGCCTTCTCTGTGTAGAGATTCAGAGCCTGAAAAGGGTGAGAAGGCTTCTGCCTGGAGGAGAGGGCAAACGATCGGAGGCAGCTGGACCTAGAGTGGGGGTTGAAAATCATTCATTTGGTGTGTGGCTTGACATGTTGGAGCCTGGGCAGCCAGAGAAGGGCATCCTCACAGAGGGTTGCCTGGCTCAGTTTGTTGTAACCTGAGGAAGATGAGAAATATGCACAAAGGGAAGCAACCAGGCAAGGGAAGGCACAACACCAGCAGGGCAGGGAGCACATTGCCTAAAGGAGTAAGCCAGGGTGGGGTGTCAAGAGTTCTAGAGAGAAGGTAGCATCTGAATAAGAGGGCTGCCCAGCAGGAGGTAAAGAAACCCGGGGCTCCAGAAGGATATAGGGAAGGCATCAGCTCAACAGCCTAGCTAAGTGTATTGTGCTAGAACTGAGGAAGGGTTAAGAGGGCATCCATGACGGAAGGTAACCGGAAAAGAAGCCAACACCTGCCTCAGGTTAAGAGGGCATCCATATGGAAAATGAAGGAAAGACTGAGAAGCTGTTTGATGCATTATAATGTAAACGCAGTAAACTGGATCTTTTTACTATAAAATATACAACAAATAGCAAAATTTTAACGGGGTCTGAGAATTAAATGGTAGTAACAAATCATTGCTAATCTCTTGATTTTATGTTACAGAATAATTATGTGAAAGAATGTTCTTGTTTGTAGCAACATAACATTCAGGAATGATGGAGCATCATGTCAGTAGTTACTCTCATAGTTCAGGAAAAAAACTGGCATAGTGCTTGTAGCTTTTCTGTAATTTTTATTTTACTTTTAAATTTAAAAATGAGAGAGAAATAAAGAAGGAGATAAAGATTTAAGAGAAAGTGAAATAAAATAAGTGATTTAAGAGGAATATTAAAGATAAGCAAAGTAAATAAACTTGCATAGTCAAGTCTCTGGAGAAGAAAACCAAAGCAAGGAAACAGAAGAAATTGTAAAAGTATAGTATAAGAACAATTTCTTAAAATATGAAAAGATGCAAACTACATATGAAAGTGCACACCATATACCTGAGAAATTAACTCAGAACGACCAACACCAAGACATATCTACCAAAATTATTAGATTTAAGGAAAAAGAAAAAAAAGTCCTTTGAACATCTAACAAGACTGAGTGTCTTGTAATGGAGAAGATATTACATTGTCAACAGACTTTCAATACTAATACCTCATGCCAGGGAAAAATTAGTAGCATATTTAAGACATCCAAAGAGAGAAAGAAAAGTCAAGGATTTTATAGCCAGGCAAAATGACTTTCAAGTAAAAAATATAAAGCACCTTACAAACTAGTATCAAAATGCATTTCTCAAGAAATACTGTTTCCATGAACTCTTCCTGAGGAATCTACTACAGAAAGAGCTAAAACACAGCCAAAACACATCAATATAAGGAAATAATATGAGCCCTAAACACACAGGTACTTATAGGACTATGATTAAATAAGAGTTAAGAGAGAATGGTATGTAATAACTGTGTGTGCTCACAATGTAGATAAGACCTTGTATGAGCTTGCTGGGTCTGCTATGACAAAGTACCGGAGTCTGGATGGCTTAAATAAAAGTTGTTTATTTTCTCATAGTTCTGGAGGCTGTAAGTCTAACATATGCGTGTAAGCAGGGTTTTCTTCTGAAGACTCTCTCCTTGGTTTGAAGACAACCTAACTACCTTTTCTTCCCTGTGTCTTCACATGGTCTTTCTTTTGCATGTGTCTGAGTCCTAATTTCCTCCTCTTTATAAGGATACAGTTATACTGGATTAGGACCCAATAACCAAAATGACCTCACTTAATCTTAATTACCTCTTTAAAGACCCGTCTCCAAAAACAGTCACATTTCAGGCTACTGAGGGTGAGAATTTCAATGAATTTTAGGGGAACATAATTCACCTTGTAACATACCTCAACTATTTTAAAAATGGCAAGAGGGAGAATGAAGAGAACGCATGCAAAAACAAATTAACTGTATTTTCAGTAATTATAACAATTGGGCATTATTGATATTATTATTCTGAGGCTGTTCTTTATGTATAATCATGGGATTTTCTAATCTATTATCCTGTGTGTATTTGACAGTATCCTCAATGAAGAAAGGAGATTTAACTTCAAGTAGGTCAAGTTAAAACACCACACTCTCCTGCTTTTTCTCCTTATTCCCTTGCTCTCCTCTTTCTCCTTTGCTGCTTCCTCTGCATCTCCTCAACCTACAAACAGTGGCTTTCCCAAGGACTCATTTCTCAGTTATCTTTTTCTCTGAACTCACTTCATTGGCACGTAAATCCAGTCCTTTACCTTTAAATCCTGTCCATATCCTGCCAATGCCAAATTTCTATCTCCAACCTAGATGTCACCTCTAAACTCCAGACTTACTTCATTTTTCCATTTAGATGTTTATTGGGCATCTCAAACAACTATGCCCATAACCTATGTCCACAACCTAATATTTGATCTTCTCTGCCAAAACTTATTTCTTCATAGTCCTCCCATCTCAGTAAATGACAACTCCATCAGCTCAGTTGTTCAGGCTGAAATTCATGGGGTTACTTGCTCCTGTCAGTCCTCTCTTGCTCCCTTACCCCATGTTCACAGTGACAGAAAATCCTACTGGCACTACCTCCAAAGTATATCCAAAAGCTGACCTTTTAGAGTCTTAGATATTTTAGATATGCTTTATCAAAAATCTAATCAAGTCTCAATACTTTCCAGAGCTCTTTCACTAAATAACTGCAGCAGCCCCCTAACTAGTCTCCCTATTTCCACCTTTTCTCCCTATTTACCATAGTAACCAGAGTGATCCCTTTCAAATTGGTATCAGGCCAGTACACCCAAAACTTTTCAATTGCTGTCCCTCTCACTCAAGAGCAAAAATAAAGTCATAACAATCCTCTGAAAGCATATAGTTGTTCTCTGAATTAATCTTCTTTGACTCTCCCCCTTGCTCCTTCTGTGACAGTCACAGGAAAACATAGTCACAGTGTTCTTTAATCTGTGAAGTAAGCTTCTGCTAATGGCCTTCATTCTTGCTCTGGCATTTACCCTTAAAGCTCTTCCCCAGATATCCACTTGGCTAGCATCAACTTCCATCTTTTTTACCTGCTTTGTGTGTCTCATAGCTCTTATCACCATATACACACTATATATTTTTCTTTTGTTTTGTTATGTCTTCTCCCATGATACTGCAAACCCTACTTCTCCAAAATACAGGCAAGGGGTTTTTGTTGGTTTTGTTTGATTGTTATGTCCCTAGCATCTAGAACAGTGCCCAACTGTTTAATAAAAGAATGAATGGATGAATTAGTGAAGGCTAATTATTTGTATTTAGTTAGCATTGATGTATTTTGTTTTCCTTTCAATTGGGCTTTTGTTATCTTTAATTTGAAAGAGGGGTCTACAGCATATGCTGTGGGTAAATGAAATACCAGATACATACCTATCATTCAAGAAAAGACATGCAATTTTGACTTTGATAATTTTGTTTTAGCCATTGAATTGTAGTCAACATTCTATCAAGACACATTGCAAAATACATAACTTTTCAACTACATAGGTGCATTTATAGCCTCTCCCCAAATCTTTCTGTGAGTTATCATATGTATTACATGTATATACACTGAATCATCCAGGTTTTCTTCTTTAGTCAGTAATGAGAGTCAAATAACAACAAATTTTTAAAATTTTCTTTCAAAAGACTTAAAGAATATTTTCACTGGATAAAAAATTCTAGGTTGACAGATTTTTTTCTTCCTTTCAGAACTTTAAAGATTTTGTTCCACCTCTATGGCTTCCCTGCTTTCTGATGAGATGTGTACAGAAATTCAAATTATTGTTCCCTTATCAGTATCTAGTTTTCCTCTGCCTGCTTTCAAGATTTTCTCTTTATCTTCGGTTTTCCACACTTTGACTGTAAATGCCTACTTTGGTTCTCTTTGCATTTATTTTGGTTGGAATTTTCAGAGTTTCTTCAATCTATAAACGTAATCCTTTTACCAAATCTGAAAAGTTTTCTGTCATCATTTAGTCAAATATTTTTTCTGGCTCTTTCTCTTATACTGTGCCTATTAGACCTTTCAAAACTGCCCCCATACATCTCTATGGTTCTATTTTTTCACCCCAATCTTTCATAACTCTCTTCAGATTTTCTATCAATCTATAATCAAGTTCATTTACTTCTCTATAATATTAATTCTGCTAATAAGCCCATAGAGCCTATTTTTAATTCTGATATATTTTTCAGCTCTAGAATTGCCATCTGATTTTGTTTTATTTCACGGCTGGTACTTCCTATCTTTTAATTCATTATAAGTAAACTTTTCTCTACCTCGCTAGTTACAATAGACCTCATGTGATATTTCCAACATGTGGGTTATCTTAGAGTTGGTATATGATGATTTTCTCTTCCCTTGAGAATAAGTCACATTTTCCTGACCATTTTTAGAATAAGTACTTTTGGATTATATGCTAAACAGTGTGACTATAACTCTGTACAATATTATGGAGAAACTTTCTGGCCAGAAAATTTCCTATAAAAGCAAAAAATGGGGATATCAGTCCATGTAGACTGACTGTACCATATTTTGATTACGCTCCAAAGCTTGCCTGCTTTTATTCAATCTCCACAACCCTCAGATAGATGTTATCTATATTATGTGCAGAGTTTACAAATGGTTATTTGTGAGAAGATCAGTTTGTTAGGAGCTCACCCCTCCACACAAGTATTGGAAATCCTCTGAAGTGATTTTTAATTTTGGAGGTTGTGTTATACTTTTTCTCTTATCAGTTAGAACTTTATTATGATATAGCAAATTATAAAAACCATTATGCTATCATATTCATAAATGAAAGAGAGAACTCAAAGCTAAATTTTCAAATATCTGGCCATGAAGACTAACTGCTTGCTACACGGGATTAAGAGAACAATGAGAAAATGTCTAGTAATAATTATAAAATATAAAAACTTTGTTAAAATCTGATTTGCAAGCTTTTGTCAAAGGGCCACCTCATACAGAATCTTGAAGACATTAAATAACCCCAAATAGAGATCCACAGTAAACTTATCTGGTAGTAAATTTTACTATACTAGACAAATCTACAGTGAGATTTTCTGTATTTAAATATTTTCTGTATTTCTGTATTTTCCAAACTGAATGGTTTATTTAGTTAATAAGTCATACCCTAACTTATTTACCATTTCCAGAAAATAACCAAGTACAGAATATTTACTGATAAGATGCAATGCTCAAAACCAAATATTCGACAGAAAAAAATTTACCTAGCACTACAGTGACCAACAAGTCAAAATCATTTGTGACAGACTCTATTGAATATTTAGTTTGATGACATTATTTGAAGGTAGAATTAACTTATTTTATTAACTTCGAAGCCCATATGTTGACATGCTATCCACACTAAGCTCAGAATCATAAATTTTGTCTGACCATTACAATGAAAGAAAGTTCCATATAACTTAAGGCAATAAATATAAATACTATGTTATTATACAACACTACGTAATTTAAACTCCATTTGTGATTTATCCAAATGTCCATTAGTTATTATATTATCTACACCTTAAAAATTCCACTGTAGCCCTCCACCCCTTCTCTCACAGAGAGTGACTTTACCAAGATAATTGTGACTATAATGTGTGAACTACTCAGCTTTTCCGTCAAAACACAGTCTGATCATTTGCGTTCCTCCTTCTCTATGTTCTCTGAATTTCTAAAAAGAAAAAAAAAGCTTTTTAATATAAAAAAAATTTGCTGATGCCTGTCATGGTGCAATTGTACTTACAATATTTACAAATTGAGAAAATGCATGTACCTGTGGATTTATCATCCATCCCCACTTACAACAAGGGTGCAGTAAGCTGAGAACTTTCAAAACTTAATAAAATACTATCTGATGTAATGCCCAAATTTACAGGTATCTCTCTTAAAAGTTCTGACTTTAGGTACTCTACTGTGTGTTAGGATACTAAGGATACTATACTATGTCACATGAGCTGTGCACACATGATGACCGGGTTAAAAAGAATGACAAGATGACTGTTGTTAAAAAGAACGACAAGAAAGACGTGTGAAAAGAATACTACCAACTACAGAGTTTGCAAAACTGTTCAGGACACAGTTTGCTTCTTTGTGAATAGAATTACAAAATTGCTTATATTCAGCCTTTTTTCTTGATGTTGCCAGGAAGCTCCCATCAATTCTGAAATTTCACATTAGCAATCATATTGGATTTGTATTTTCTTGATATTCTACCTTTTTATATTTCATTTGTTTGCTTGTCACTGTATTTAATATCATTCTACTAGAGCTTAAAAAGACACTACAAGTATTTTATGAAACAACTCAAAGAAGTAGGAAAGAAAAGCAGGCAGCATATTAATAAAAAATGTGAATTACAAAAATATTCCTATGCAAGATCAACAATGGAAGAACCAGGATGCAAACCCAACAAAAAGACCCATGAAAGAAGAAGTAGCTGGACAGGCACAAATTCATTTCTAGAGCTAGTAAGACAAAAACAAAAATGATATGGAAAATATATGATAGCAAGTATTGTTACCTTGACATAAAAATAATAGCATTATTATTCTTCAATATTATTATGGTTATTAAATTCACTGAGAAAAAAAGATCTTTTAATATAGGTAAATTCAAACTTTCCTCTCTCTCTCTCTATATATATATATATACATATGTGTGTGTGTGTGTGCGTATATATATATATATATGACATAAAAATAAAAAGAGAAATACCAATGCAAAAATACAAAGGCCAAAGAGGGACTTTTTTAAATGTTTTTCCTTTCCATAACACAATCTTCACATTAATTATTTAAATTGAGTTCAATAAATAAACCAAGCTTCCATACAAGACAAGTACTCCTTCAGAATTATAAACACTTTGAGTATAATGTGTAATTCTCTTTCGGCTCCAAGTAGTTTGAGACTTCACAATTCCCAATGTGATTTAAACAGAACCTTTATATATTTCCCTAGCCAGGTGTACTGCACATTTAAAACTAACTCATATATGTGCATGCTATATCTTACCTAGAGTCTTTGTTCTTAAGAATCAATGAATGAGTTCATATTAAGTGCCCATTTTATAGTTACTGCTGTCAAATAGCATTTTAAGTATCTGTTTTAATATGGATGGTTTGATTTCTGAAACAACCTTTATTCTCTTGAGAGTTAATACCCTAAAATAGAGAATATAGAACTATTTTTTTCTAAAGTATAGAAAAATACAAATGATCTATAAACATTTGAACAAGTATGCTTTCTGAAGTTAAGAGGGGAAAATTAACTGGTTTCTCCCTCCCACCAAAATATAAAATACAAACTTTGTTCTACAGATTACTTGAATGCACTATTCAATTATTTCATATATATTTTGAGAAATAAAAAGTTATAATAATCCTTAATCACTAAAATATTAGTCATTTCAAGGTATCTAAAATACTTTGAGAAAAATTCAATTTTGTCCATTTCAATTTAGAAAATAAAAATAGGCTGGGCACGGTGGCTCATGCCTGTAATCCCAGCACTTTGGGAGGCCAAGGTGCGCAGATC
>NC_000021.9:42484392-42615784 GCF_000001405.40 Homo sapiens | reverse complement strand
CGTGTGGTGTGTGTGTGTATGTGGTGTGTGGTGTGTGTGGTGTGTGGTGTGTGTGGTGTGTGGTATGTGTGTGGTGTGTGTGTATGTGGTGTGTGGTGTGCGCGTAGTGTGTGTGGTGTTTGATGTGTGTGTGGTGTGTGGTGTGTGTGTACTGTGTGTGGTGTGTGGTGTATGTGGTGTGTGTATGTGGTGTGTGGCGTGTGATGTGTGTGTAGTGTGTGTGTGGTGTGTGATGTATGTGTGGTGTGTGTGTGGTGTGTAGTGTGTGGTGTGTGGTGCGTGTGGTGTGTGTATGTGGTGTGTGGTGTGTGTGGTGTGTGTGGTGTGTGGTATGTGTGTGGTGTGTGTGTATGTGGTGTGTGGTGTGCGTGTAGTGTGTGTGGTGTTTGATGTGTGTGTGGTGTGTGGTGTGTGTGTACTGTGTGTGGTGTGTGGTGTATGTGGTATGTGGTGTGTGTATGTGGTGTGTGGTGTGTGATGTGTGTGTAGTGTGTGTGTGGTGTGTGATGTATGTGTGGTGTGTGTGTGTACTGCGTGTGACTACGTGCAGCCCCAAGCCCCGAGGCGCATCTGATGGGGCAGGAACGGGCTGCAGGTTGCCTTGCTCGGCTCTGCTCCCAGCGTCCTCCATGTTCTGAGCCACTCATTAATCAGCTTCCTCATCTGAAATTGCGAAATCCCCTAAAGCTCAGGTCCTGTGACAACAGGTACGGGCCAGCATTGGGACAGGCTTTGCCTGTAAGAGGGCTGGTCTGGGGGGACATCTGAACCCAATTCAGGAACACCTCACAGGTCTGCCAGCAGGGCTAGACCCGGGGTGAGATCCAGGGCAACAGGGTCTGCCTGGGAAGCTCAGCTCCGGCACTGCCTGGGGCGTCTCTGCCTACACAGGACCATTCCTCTCGCCTGGACTCCTCTTGGAGTTTGCCAAGGTATGTTCAGAAACCGAGACATCAGGGAGTTGACTGCCCAGACCAGCAGTGGGATGTAAAAGTGTTACTTTGTCCCAGAGAAGTCCTCTCTGGAAAAAAAATGTATTCCGAAGTTTGGGTGTGTGAAAATAGCCCTGTGGTGAGTGTGGTTTTCCACTAAAGATGCTTTGATCAGACAAACTCTGTCAACCACGGGAGGGGGTTATGCAGACACACAGATAATACCCTAGCCCAGCGTGGCCCGCTGTACTGGGAACCAGGGCCCTGGATGAGCAGCCAGACCGGAAAGCCTCATTTTCTTCACCTGTAAAATAGAAAACCCCACGTTGACTGTCCTAGGTGGTTGCCAGGATCCAGCTTGGCTAACGACAAAGACCTGTGCGGCTCTGCGGTGTGTTAAGAATCCTTTACCTTCTTATATAGTAGCCTCCTCTTTGTGGTTGCAACAACCTAGGAAGGTTTTCTGTTTTATAAAAAAATTGAGTGCAATGAAATCATCTGTTAAAGTCAAATGTAGGCGGCTTAACCCTGCACCCTGCCAGGAATGAAAACTTGAATGCAATTTATTTTTAAACTGATGATTTAAAGAACAGAAAAAAAGCAGCAACGTTGTAGCCTATAAAAATATTTTATTTATCTGAGGCAAAAATCTTAAAAATATGAGTCCAGAGACTCCTAGGGTTATGGATGCCTAGTTCCTAAATTCTCATAAATCCTCATAAATCCAGTAAGTCCCAGGAGCCTCAGGGCAGCCCCCAAGTGCCCCTATCCCATCTCCTCTGTCAGTTGTGGCTCCTTAATACCACATGGACACCCCCAGAACCACTGGAAGTAAATCCCTGGCCCTGGCGCTGAGAGAATCCTGGGATTTGGAGGGAGAGGGGCTGGAAAGGCAGGACCCCGCTGAGGGAGGCGGCAGTGGAAGTGCCCTCTCCTCAATGACCTTCTCTCTAACTGTTGCCTCCACATCGGTTCCCCAACTTTGCCTTCAGGCTTCCTCTCTGCTCTGTTTCCTTGCCCGAAATGATCAATTCACTTGTTACACCTGTTATAAGAAGAGTCACTTTGAAAACTAAGACAAACTGGCAGGGGATTAGTATGAGTTTGCAGTTTCTTCCCTCCCTCAACTCTGAACGGAGGTGGCCAGCAAGGAGAGAATTTGAGGTTTTATTATTGGAGGGAACGGTTGGATTTGGGAGCATGGGGCACTTTGAGCAGGGAGGACAGGGTGGATGGGGACCCTTCATTGGGTCCCGAGCACCTCAGGAAGGCCCAGGGCACCTGGAGAGTTTGGAATAAGGGAAGCAGTGTGCTCAGAATGCAGAGAGGTGGGTGATGTGGTTTGGCTCTGTGTCCCTACCCAAATCCATGTTGAATTATAATTCTCCAGTGTTGGAGGTGGGGCCTGGTGGGAGGTGACTGGATCATGGCGTGGTTTCTAATAGTTTAGTACCATCCCCCGGTGCTGTCTCTTGATAGAGTTCTTCCAAGACCTGGTTGTTTAAAAGTGCCTAGCACGACCAGCCCCCAACTTCATTCTCTTCCTCCTGCTCTGCCACGTGAAGAAGGTGCTTGCTTCCCCTTCACTCTTCTGCCATAATTGTAAGTTTCCTGCGGCGCTCCCAGCCATGCTTCCTATACAGCCTGCAGAACTATGAGTCAATTCAACTGCTTTTTTTCATAAATTACCCAGTCTCAGGTAGTTCTTTATAGCAGTGTAAGAACAGACTAATACAGCGGGCACATGCCAACCCCAGGGAAGGCCTGTCTGACATTTTCTCCTGGGGTCCTTCATGCGTGAGGGCCCTAGCATGAGAGGGGGCACATTTCTTTCTCCTGTAGTTCTCTTTCTATCTGTACCTGCTGCTTCCATAACACAGAATTTGGGCCACTGCTGTAGCCTCCGTAGCTCAGCCCCATGAGGGGTTCCTGTGGGTTGGCCTGTCAGGCATGGAAACATGCATTCTGAACTCTAGACAACCCGTGGACTCAGAATCTTTGGAATGCATCATATTCAGACTTTTTGGTTAGTCTGTGCTCAAGCATCCAAACTTTTTAAAAAGTTTGACCAAATTGTTTTTTCCCACTTGTATTCAAGAGTATAGAACAGCATAACCAGGCTGTCAAAGTGAGAAAATACGAAGCTATGATGTATTGGTGTCAGAAGAAGATGAGCTATTTTTAAATTTCTACTGAGCATGACAGTATAAAGCTTCTCTTTCTAGTAATGGTGAACTAAGCAATATGGACCAACCTTCTTTTGGCAGATAGCCAGAAACTTTTGAACAAAATACTTAAAAAAAAAAAATACTTGAATACTGATGGGCTAGTGAGATAGCAAAAAACTACTGGGCCAACATGAGGAAGAAGATAAAAATTCAGGCAAATGAACCCAGCATTTGGGGCAATTTTTCCTTGGGAGTGTTTTTTTAGTCATGGAAGAGATGGTTAAGAGGTGGAGCCATATGTTTTTGCCATTCTGTAGGAATAAAGGACAAAATTTAGCATCTGAGACACTCCAATTTTGAGGGTGGGGGTCTTAGCAACCCTTCTTCTTCACATTAGGACTTTGAAGAATTACATCTAAGGAAAAAAAAAAAGCCGGAAATAGACAAATCATTTCAATAACTTTATTTCAGTTTTTAGATATCTCGAGGGTCCAGAAAAATCTCAATTTCTAAAATTAGATTAAGATGATTCCAGATTGTGAATATACCCAGTTGCTTGGTAGTTACAAAAAATTTGCAGAGAAAGAGTGTATCAGCAGATTGTGTCCACAAAATGTATTTTTTTTTCCAAATACAATGTCTAGCACACAATCTAAAATAAGCAAACACACAAAAAGAAAAGACAGTGTGGACAAGAATCCACAGAAACGAGGACAATAAAATTCAACCATCATGGGCTCCAGATACTGAAATTAACCAGGTAAAGCTTTTCTTTTTATTTTATTTTAATTTTTTTTGAGGCAGAGTCTCACTTTGTCACCCATGCTGGAGTGCAGTGGGGTGATCTCGGCTCACTGCAACTTTTGACCCCAGGGTTCAAGTGATTCTCCTGCTTCAGCCTCCCAAGTAGGTGGGATTACAAGTACATGCCACCATGCCCGGCTAATTTTCATATTTTTACTAGAGATGGGGTTTTGCCATGTTGGCCAGGCTGGTCTTGAACTCCTGACCTCAGGAGTTCCTGACCTGAACTTGAGACCGCCTGCCTTGGCCTCCCAAAGTGCTGGGATTACAGGCATGAGCCACTGTGCCCAGCCAACCAGGTAAAGCTTTTAAATAGGTAAGACCGTTAAACTATTTTAGAAAGACATGACAGATTTGAAAAAGTTCATATACAAATTTAAGAACTGCAATATATAATTTTGAAATTAAGAACTCAATGGATGGGTTTAACAGAACATTGGGCCAGCTAATAAGAAAATTAGTGAACTTGAAAATGGATAAAAGAAATTATCCAGGCCTGGCACGGTGGCTCACACCTGTAATCCCAGCACTTTGGGAGGCCGAGGTGGGTGGATCACTTGAGGTCAGGAGTTCCAGACCAGCCTGGTCCACATGGTGAAATCCTGTCTCTACCAAAAATATATTTTAAAAAATTAGCCAGATGTGGTGGCTTACGCCTGTAATCCCGGCTACTCAGAATGCTGAGGCAAAAGAATCCCTTGAACCTGAGAGGTGGAGGTTGCAGTGAGCCGAGATCATGCCACTGCACTCCAGCCTGGGCGACAGTGAGACTCTGTCTTAAAAAAAAAAAAAAAAAAGAAACTATCCAGAATCAAGCATGGATAGGGACATAAAAATTGAACATTCAAAAGAGGTGGTAAAAAACATAGAAGATACTGTGAGAAGTTTTAAAAACTATTTACTGGAGTCTGAAAAGGAGAAGTGGAAAAGAATGCTCAGAAAAAATACTTGAAAAAATATTGATTAAGAAAAAATTTTAAACTGAAGAAATGCATTTAAGATCAATATTTCTCTCTAGGCATTGCTTTGCTGCATTCCACAATACCGAAAACGTAAGAATAAAAGTGACTTAAAATAAAATAATGGAAAAAGCATAATGTGGCAATACTCAGAAAAAGAAAGCTAATGTACATATGCTAATATCAGACAAAATTGACTTTAGGCATAAAATTATTGGAGACAAATATATTAGAGACAAAGAAGGATGCTTTATTCACCGGGAAGATATAACAATTCTAAATTCGTTATATTTTCATTCTATTATACATATACACACATATATAGGTATGTAGGAGGATTGCTTAAACCTGGGAGGTGGAGGCCACAGTGAGCCATGATTGTGACACTGCACTCCAGCCTGGGCAACAGAGCAAGACCTAGTTTCAAAAAAAGAAAGAAGTTAGAACAAAAACAAATACAAACAAAGTAGAAGGAAGGAAAAAAACAGAAATTATTGAAATAGAAAACAAATATACAACAGAAATATACTTACCAAAATTAATAATAAATGAAATGTGAATAGTTTTATAACTATTAAAGGCAGGATTAAACCATCTCAGATTAGGAAAAAGGCATGAAAAAAATCAATGTACACTTGTAATTTTAAAAAAGGACTCTTAGTGAACTAGACTATAATGGAAGTTCTTTAATCTGATTAAATATATGCCCCAAAACCTACAGAAACCATCATAATTAAAAGTGAAATGTTCCTTTGAGGCAATGATGGCTGCTCTTCCTGCTTCTGAGTAAGATTGTACTGGAAGTCCTAGCCAGTGTTGACAACCAACCCTGGGGAATTCCTTTCTAAGGAATCCCCTTTGAGTGACTGGCTTTGAAGAAGTTGGTCTTGCCCTCATACAAGTGCAGCTTTGTGGTTGGGTGTGGTCACATGGCTGCTGTGGCCAATGAGCTGTGCAGCTTTGTGGTTGGGTGCGGTCACATGGCTGCTGTGGCCAATGAGCTGTGAGCACAGGTAATGTGCATCAGAGGTCTCATTCCCTGAGGCGTGGTCTCTTTCAACCTTTAAGGTGGTGGCTGTTTCATTAGGGTGGATCCCAGAGTGAGAGAAAAGCCCCCAAAACTACCGCAGTGCACATGGAGTATGAATGAGAAATAACATAAATCTTTCTTATACACCAGAGATTATGGCACTGAGACAGAGGGTTGTGGAGGCCACAGCAGCTCCAGCCTGGATGCTAATCTGCCATGTTGGTTGATACGGTTTGGCTCTGTGTCTCACCCAAATCTGATCTCGAATTGCAATCCCCACGTGTTGAGGGAGGGACCTGGTGGGAGGTGATTGGATCATGGGGGCAATTTCCCCCATGCTGTTCTTATGATAGTGAGTGAGTTTTCATAAGATCTGATAGTTGATAAGTAGCAGTTCGCTCTTCATTCTCTCTCCTGCTGCCATGTAAGTTGTGCCTTGCTTCCCCTTCACCTTCCACTATGATTGTAAGTTTCCTGAGGCCTCCGCAGCCATGTGGAACTGTGAGTCAATGAAACCTCCTTTGTTTATAAATTACCCAGCATCAGGTAGTATCTTTATAGCAGTGTGAGAAAGGACTAATATATTGGTGTTGATGAAGAGTCAAACTCTAAAATGTTTGAAGAGATTTATTCTGAACCAAATATGAGTTACCATGGCCTGTGACACAGCCCTAGAAGGTTCTGAGAACATGCGTTCAAGGTGGTCTGGGTGCAAGGTGGTCATGGGAGACATGAAACATTATTCAAATAAATGGAAGATGTACATTGGTTTGGTGTGGAAAGGTGGAACAACTGGAAGGTGGGGGCTTCCAGGTCATAGGTAGATTCAAAGATTTTCTGATTGGCAGTCGGTTGAAAGAGTTAAGTTACTGTTGAAAGACTTAGGAATGTCTGGGTGAAGATAAGGGGTTGTGGAGACCATAGGTGAAGCCTCCAGGTAGCAGCCTTCAGAGACAATAGATTGTAAATGTTTCTTATTAGACTTAAAAATTCTGTTCTATAAACCAAAAATAAAATTTGAAGGCCACCCAACCATCTGAATGGACTTCCTTCTAGGCCATGGCATTCTAAATTTAACCTGAAAGACTGGTTTAGGCCATTACAGGAAGTGGGGGTCAGACGTGCCTCATTGTACCCGCCAGCATGGATATCAACACAGACCTTAAGTCTGATAAGAAACATTTAAGTCTATTCTCTCTGAAGCCTGCTACCTAGAGGCTTCATCTGCACGATAAAAAAACTTTGTTCTTCACAACCCCTTATCATAACCCAGACATTCCTTTCTATTGCTAACTCTTTCAACCAACTGCCAATCAGAAAATGTTTAATCTACCTATAACCACCCAACCCCTGAGCTTCAAGTTGTTCCACCTTTCTGGACTGAACCAATGTGTTTCTTTTATTTTTTTCTTTCTTTTTTTTTTTTTTTTGAGACGGAGTCTCACTCTGTCACCCAGGCTGGAGTACAATGGCGGAATCTCGGCTCACTGCAACCTCCGCCTCCTGGGTTCAAGTGATTCTCCTGCCTCAGCCTCCCGAGTAGCTGGGATTACAGGTGCCTGCCATTACGCCCGGCTAATTTTTTTTTTTCTTTGTATTTTTAGTAGAGATGGGGTTTCAGCATGTTAGTCAGGCTGGTTTCAAACTCCTGACCTCAGATGATCCCCCTACCTCGGCCTCCCAAAATGCTGGGATTACAGGTGTGAGCCACCACACCCAGCCCCAACATATTTCTTAAATATATTTGATTGATGTCTCATGTCTCCCTAAAATGTATAAAACCAAGCTGCACCCTGACTACCTTGGGCACGTGTTCTCAGGATTTCCCAAGGGCTGCGTCACGGACCACTGGTCACTCATATTTGGCTCAGAATAAATCTCTTCAAATATTTTACAGAGTTTGACTCCTTTTGTTCACCAGTTCTATTAGTAATGCCAAAAGGGAGGAGGGGATAATAAGGTATGTCTGGCTCCTGATTCCCATCACAGCCTGAACTAGCTTTTCAGGTTAACTTTGGAATGCCCTTGGCCAAGAGGAGGCATTCATTCAGATGGCTGGGGGACTTAGAATTTTATTTTTGGTTTACATTGGCTTATGATTAACATTCTGAGGAGGCCTCTAAGATTTCCAGTTTATCTACCACTCCCTGTGTAAGAGCAGCTACTTACTGTAGGTCCTGCCCTTAGGTCAAACAACCTTGACATTATCATCCTTCAATCATCCTGCACATTCCTTCTGAACCACTCCTCCCTGTGCTATATAAGCTCTGGGTCTGGGGCTGAGGGGTAGGGATCCACCATCTCATCTCGTTGCCACCTGAGACACAGCCATGGCTTCTCTTTGTAAGTCCGTATGAAACATTTCTAAGAAACTCAATGTGTCAGCTTCTCAGCTTCTTTGGACTTTGGGGCTGGTTTGCCTAGACCTGCCCACTGTAAAACGTGGACTGAGAGACCAAGAAATGTGCAAAGGGAATGAAGCATCTGTGGGAGAAATCCCAGGCAGCAGCCACTTCCACGTGGAGCAGCATGGTTCGCCTTTTAGGTGCATGTGTGTGAATGCAGTGATGTCCCTAAACTGCTGGCATGCTTAAAGCAATCATTAGCTGAGAGCCATCCATCACATAGCGGTAAGGAAGGGTGGTGAGCAGCTACTGCTGTGGATGGCTGCTTCTAGGGGCTGCCTGTTTGGTGATGGAGCCCAGCCAGCAGCAGAGGCAAAGTAAAATGGCTTTGGTAGGAATTACAACTGGGAAAAGGTTTTTAAAAGAGCTTGGCAGTCAAAAGGTAACTTGGTTCAATCTGCCATGTGGGTTGTATATGTGTTCACGCCTATTGCTTATTGCTATTTTTTTTTTTTTTTTAGACGGAGTCTTGCTCCATCACCCGGGCTAGAGGCTAGAGTACAGTGGTGAGATCTTGGCTCACTGCACCTCCGTCTCCCAAGTTCAAGCAATTCTCCTGCCTCAGCCTCCAGAGTAGCTGGGACTACAGGCGTCCGCCACCATGCCCGGCTAATTTTTGTATTTTTAGTAGAGTTGGGTTTCACCATGTTGGTCAGGCTGGTCTCGAACCCCTGACCTCAGGTGATTCACCCACTTCAGCCTCCCAAAGTGCTGGGATTACAGGCTTGCACCACTGCGCCCGGCTTGCTTATTGCTTTACGGCCTCTGCTCTCTGTAAAACTTCTCAGTCGAGAACCCTGTCTGTTTCTCTGTTTGCTTCTGTCTGTCCCTCTTTCCTCTTGCAACCTTCAATGACACATGAGGACCTAAACAAGGAAATTTCTGACAGCCTAGGATCCTTGGGGAACAGGGAAAAGGCACCAGTCTCCTCTCTTTGGGAGGAACCTGTTTTTCCTCGTGGCATCCTAGGTTGTAAGCAGACAGGTTCCCCTCAGGTCTAGGGCTCTGCTCTCTTGTACTGTGTTACTGGGCTCGCTGGCTGTTTGTAGGGCACTAGAGACTGCTTGGCACTGTGAGAGGACTTGACCTTGATGTGTGTGATGGCTGGTGGTTGATGGCGGGTGAAAGCCATAGTGTTGGAGGTGGCTCAGGACAGTCGTGCAATGGAAACGATCATTGATACGGGGGTACTTGGGTGTTTGCACGTTTGAATAAGAAAGTCGTGGTTTAGGTCCTAAAACCTGCATGCTTTCTTGGTCCTGGTCCTTAAAGGGCTCTACCTTAAAGCCAGTAATCTAATTAAGAAACAAGCTAAATTGAAAAGACCGCCTATCCAACGAATCAGCCTTCAACACGCTTTGTAAAGGAAATGTACATCTTTAGAGGGAATCTCCATTTGTAAGGGCGTGTCTGTCTCCGTACTGAAACCACTAGAAACTTTCTCTATGGAGAAGACAATGGCTTAAAGTCTACATAACAGACCTTGCTTTTGCTTAGATTGAAGTTCTGTTCCTTTCTACCTGTTTCCCCAGAGTCCTGTCTTGGGAGATGCAGATTTAGAATTTTCTCCCTAACATTTGTTTAGGGCATGAAACAGGAAATCAAGAGATTAATAGTCTAAAGTGAGGGAGAATCTTTAAAAAATGGCAAAAGAAAAATCTTATTAAATGTATAAGATCTGCTGCTGTGTCTGCTACGTCTACATATGTGTCATGCGTATGTGACACTTCGCTACTGTAGAAAGTAAAAAGTTTCCTCTTCAAAGTTTCCCTTCCTGTTAAAGAATAAATCATAAGTGTTAGAAATAATAGTTTCTTTTAAAGACTGACTTTCTTCAAGCCTCCTTGCTTTGTGCTAATAACTCTTTGTTAAGCCCTATCCTATGTAGCTGTTGGACATGCTCACAGGCACGTTCCAGCTCACAGCCTATGCCCCTTCCTTATTTGGAAATGTTATTGCTTCTTTAAATCTTTCATAAGCAACTTCCTCCTTTCCTTTGTTCTCCCTTTGCCTTTACCTATTTAAGAAAGTTTTAGGTTGTTAGCAAGTCGAGTGTCAGTTTAGACTGTGAGGTTCGGCTCCAGCCAATGGATGCAGGACACAGCAGTAAGGATGACCCAAATACGTAAGGGATAAATACATCTGCTTTTCCTTTGTTTGGTGTACTCTTGTGGCAAGACTGCTGGTGAGTGTACCCTTTCTGCAGAAAGTGAAAATTGCCTTGCTGAGAGAATTAAATTTATGTTCAAGTGATATTTCTTTTTTTTTTTTTTTTTTGAGATGGAGTCTCGCTGTGTCGCCCAGGCTGGAGTGCAGTGGCGCGATCTTGGCTGACTGCAAACTCCGCTTCCCGGGTTCACACCATTCTCCTGCCTCAGCCTCCTGAGTAGCTGGGACTACAGGCGCCCACCACCATGCCCAGCTAATTTTGTATATTTTTAGTAGAGATGGGGTTTCACCGTGTTAGCCAGGATGGTCTCAATCTCCTGACCTCATGATCCGCCCCCCTCGGCCTCCCAAAGTGCTGGGATTATAGGCATGAGCCACCACGCCCAGCCCTCAAGTGCTATTTCTTTATGGCACCAGGGAACAAGCATTTTGCATTCCCAGCACTACCAAAATATATGAAGGAGAACATTTACATGCTTAAATCAAATATTTTATCAGAAAAATAGATGGTAGCTCGAATGCCTTTTAGCACATGTGATTTTGGTAATCTATGGTAAATAAAACCAGTTTCAAAATTCTCTTCAGGAATTTAAGATCTTAAAGTCATGTTATGTTAAATTAATCCTAGGGTTTTCAGCAGAAATTGGGATTACTCAGAGTGTGTTTGGTAAAGGTTATAAAAACGTGGTTTTTGCTGAAAGGAAAAGCAATTTTATGTAGAATAGAGGATATTTAAAGATTGTTTCAAAATGAAAGGAAGAGAATGCTGGGTTGGGCCTTGGGGCTGGACCAAGCTCAGATCTGGGTCTGTCTGAGCTCAGATGTGAGTCTGTCTGAGCTCAGATCACCAGCCTCAAAGCTACCCACAAACGGGAAAATTATGCCAGGAACAAAAGAAATTACCTTTGAGACCTGTAGTTACCAAGAAGATAGTCAATGTTCGGGAAGGGAAAAAGCAAGCGACTATTGAAACTAGAGGGGCGTGTGAAGGAATTGTTCCATTTTGTAGATCTGGATCATCAGCTCCCTGAAGAACCTTTATGAAAATGGATTGTGAGAGTGACTAATTTGGGAGCAGTGTCTCTGGTTTAAAATGCTGCAGAGGGAAAGAGCATGTTTGGGTTGATGCAGGACCCACACTCACCACTGAACAATGCAGCTGGGTATACACAATCCAGACACACAGGAGAGTATTCCTGAGGGAGCAGCCAGCCTGGGGAACCGGATAAAAGGCACTGGAAGGTCTGTTTACCCTGAGAAGGGACGGTCTGACTCCAATATAAATGCCAAGTGCAGCACCTCAGATGAAGCAGCTGGTTTCTTCTCATGGGTCTTACAGATGCTGATAAAAACATGAGGTTAGTTAAGAGCAGGGGAAAGGCAAAAGGAAGAGTCAGAATCCATCAAAGGGAAGTGGACATTTTTAAATGGTTATTTAAAAATAAGGTAAATAGGCCAGGTACCGTGGTGGCTCACGCCTGTAATCCTAGCACTTTGGGAGGCCGAGGCAGGTGGATCACCTGAGGTCAGGAATTCAAGACCAGCCTGGCCAACATGGAGAAACCCCATCTCTACTAAAAATAAACACACACACAAAAATTAGCCGGGCGTGGTGGCAGGTGCCTATAATCCCAGCTACTCAGGAGGCTGAGGAAGGAGAATCACTTGAACCCGGGGGGACGGAGGTTGTAGTGAGCTGAGATCACGCCACTTCACTCCAGCCTGGGTGAAAGAGCGAAACTCCGTCTCAAAAAAATAAAAAATAAAAAATAAAATAAAAATAAGGTAAATAAATTTTTAAAAATTGATAGATGAGGCTAAGAGGAAAGACGAGAGAGTCTTGGGGCTTATCCCAGGGTGGCAATCTTTAGATAATTACTAAGAAATGGAATGAATGGAGGACTTATTTTTTCTTATTTTTTATCTTGCCCAAATTCCTACTTAAGGGGTCTGGGGAATCATGCCCTACAAACCATAAATTCTTATCAGGTGGGTTTTATTTAACCCTATATATTGTGACTTACTTTCAATCTGACTCTGGCATAACATTATGAGACAAGGAAAAAAATATTTAACCCCAAAATATATTTCCTTGCCATACCTTGAAATTGCCCTGCAAAGTCTCTTGTGGGAAAAATCCGCATTCTATAGAGAATGCCCTTCCCACTTTGTTTTCCTTCCCTTTTTTTCCAGATCCCGGAGATAATCAACTAAGAGCCAGGCACCCTTTTAGGTCTGAAAAGAAACATTTTACAACCTGCTCTCTCTCTCTCTGAAGTCTGCTATCTGAGCGATTCCTCTGCACAATAAAACTTGGTCTCCACAATCCTTTACCTTAACCTAAACATTCCTTTCCATTGATCCCAGGTCTTCAGATAAACTCAACCAATTGTCAACCAGAAAATGTTTAAATTTACCTATAGCCTGGAAGGCCCCGCTTTGAGTTGTCCCGCCTCTCTGAACCAAACCAATGTATTTCTTAAATGTATTTGATTGATGTCTCATGCCTCCCTAAAATATATAAAAACAAGCTGTGCCCCGACCACCTTGGGCACATGTTCTCAGGAACTCCTGAGGGCTGTGTCACAGGCCATGGTCACTCAGATTTGGCACAGAATAAATCTCTTCAAATATCTTATAGCGGCAAAAGAATAAAATGGAAATTGATGGAGTTAAAATAAAAGTTTTTCTTTTTTTTTTTGAGATTTAGTCTTGCTCTGTTGCCCAGGCTGGCACTGCACAATCTCAGCTGCTCACTGCAACCTCAGCCTCCCAGGTTCAAGCAAGTCGTTTGCCTCAGCTTCCCGAGTAGCTGGGACTATAGGCGTGCACCAACATGCCCTGCTAATTTTTTTGTATTTTTTAGTAGAGACAGGGTTTTGCCATGTTGGCCAGGATGGTCTCAAACTCCTGACCTTAAATGATTCACCCACCTCAGCCTTCCAAAGTGCTGGGATTACAGGTGTGAGCCACCACGCCCAGCAGAAACAAAGGTCTTAATCAATGCTGTCAAAAGTTGGGTGAACCAAAGGAAGCCTCCACTGGCCCCCACAATGTTAAAGGGCCCCAAACCAGTTTTCTGTATTTATCCCAGATTGGATAAATTAAAAAAAAAAATCAGAGGGCAAAGATTGCAATGAGAAAGCTGAGCAATAGTTACCTAGGGCAACGCTGATGCAGATAAGTCCAGATTAAAGTTTGGCAAGAGAGACCCTTGGCTCAGCCCCTGCTGGGAACCTAAATCTTTTTTACAAGAGAGGGAAGAATGGTCTGGGGGTTGAAAAAAGAAGTTCCTGGTGCTGTTACAGGTATAGTTAGACACTCATGAGCAGAGGGAGGAGAGAGCTCTTCTCCCACCCACTAGGAACGTCAGGTGATGCTTTGGCAATGATCACATTGTCTCTCTAAAAGGGATAAATTGGCAGCCGGCACCAGTGAGAGGCCATTTCCTGATGGTCTACACCTGTTGCACTAAAGTGTTCACTGAATGCAGGCGCCAGGGAGAAGCACCTTCCCAGCCATGTGCATTAAGAAACAAAATGGCAGAATGTGACCTTCCAGGGGCACACCACAGGAAAAGGGAAGAAAGCCTCAGAGGGGCATGCGTACCACTTCCTAAACACACTGTGTGTGCTCACCTCCCAAGGGTAAGGGGGGCATGTGCATGCGGGCAGCCCATCCTAAGGGAAGAACCATGGGAAAGGGGCCAGCCTGGAAAGTCCTAGGATCATGGTTAACCTAGGTCGACCACTGCACTCGACCTTCCACTTGGGTCTCTCCCAAGTGTGTTTTCTTTCTTTCCTGTTCTTTTTTTTTTGAGACGGAGTCCCACTCTGTCGCCCAGGCTGGAGTGCAGTGGTGCGATCTCGGCTCACTGCAAGCTCCGCCTCCCGGGTTCACGCCATTCTCCTGCCTCAGCCTCCCGAGTAGCTGGGACTACAGGCGCCCACCACCACGCCCGGCTAATTTTTGTATTTTTAGTAGAGACGGGGTTTCACTGTGTTAGCCAGGAAGGTCTCGATCTCCTGACCTCGTGATCCACCCGCCTCGGCCTCCCAAAGTGCTGGGATTACAGGCGTGAGCCACAACACCCGGCCTCTTTCCTGTTCTAAAGCCTTTTGAAAGAAACTTCCATTCCTCTTCTGAAAGTTGCCTTGGTGTCTTTTTTTGCCTTATGCCCCTCAGTCTAATTCTTTCTTCTGAGGAGGCAAGAATTGAGGTTGCTGCAGACCCATAAGGATTCACTGCCAATAACTCGGATACCTCCACTGGTAACATATGTGGTACCATGAGACTCAGATATTTTCCACCCCTAATAGGACCACAGCATACAAATGAAAAGTTGATAGGATTATGTAAGTTGAAATGTTTAAACAGGATTTATGCAAGCTGTTGTGACTCAGTTTTACTCTTAAGGAGCTGAAGGATAGGGGTGGTGGTCTTCAATGTATCTCTATTTAATTTACCAGGCTGGCCTCTGCAGAAATAGGAGACTCCTGGAGGAAGACAGTGGACTTCAGCAAGCTGCACCAAGGAGAATCCACAGCGGCAGCTGCCCTGCCAGGCGCGGGATCTCGGTCAAGGTGGATCAACACAGCCTCAGGTGTGTGCTCTGCCCCACTGAGATGGCAAGTGCATTCTTTTCTATTCCTACGAGGAAAGAGCATCCGAAAGAGCCTGCCTTCACATAGGATGAATAACAGTGGACCTTGGCTTTGCCTCAGTGTTATGTGCTAATAAACCATGTATTCTATGCCCTAAGGAAGCCCAGAGAGAACTGGACAAGCTGGATATCCCAAAGAGCATGGCACTGGCCCACCACATTGATTACATTGCGCTGGCCGGGTGCTAACCAAGAAGCAGCTAACACACTGGGAGTCTTGGTAAGATGCCTGAGTGCCTGCAGCTGGCAGACAAATCCTACAAAGATTCTGGGAACTGCCACTAATAACACTCTTGGTGGGGAGGTCCCATATCCCATAACCAGGAGCATACTGGGCCTCCTGTCCACAGCAAAGAGCCAATTACTGCATCTTGCATCTCCCATGACCAAGAGAGACAGACAATGCCAGTACGCCTTCTGGAGGCAGCACGTTCCACACACATGAAGACTACTCCAGCCTATGTACCATTGATAGGAGAAGCTGTCGGCCTTCCCTGAGCCTGCAGCAGGTCGAGGCTGCAGTGCTGGCAGCCCTGTGACTCAGGCCCTGCAGCTGGTCGGACCCTGTGTTATGAGAGGTATCAGACGTGGGAAAGCAATGCTGTGTGTTTATGGCAAACCACTATGCCAGAATCACAGTGCAGGCCCCTGGGATTCAGAAACAAAGCCGTGCCATCTGCGGCAGAGGATTCTGCGAAAAATTCTGAAAAGTCCCTGTTGATGTGCTCCTGGGGCCTGGGGTGATGGAATACCTGATTGTGCATGTGGAACTGCTCAGATGAGCTGGATTCTGTCTCACCCCTGGGTCATGAGGTTGGGGACTCAGAAATAACCCATCACAGGTGGGAGTGTGCGTGTGGCAGCAGCAGAAGCAGGAGCAGGAGGCCAAGCAGCGGCAGCTGCCCAGTACCCCCCCCCACCCTCCACAGCAGTCCCCACAGCCCCAGTGGAGGAACCTTCTGGTGAACTGAGGAGGGAGGGACAAGCCCGGCCTCAGTTCATGGAGGTGTCTGCTCTGCCTGTGGGGCCAGCCCAAATCGCCTGGCTGCCATACTCCAGTCTCAGCAAGCTGCCCTTTAAAGAGGGTGATATGGTTTGGCTCTGTGTCCCCACCCAAATCTCATCTTGAACTGTAATCCCCAGGTGATGAGGGTGAGACCTGATGGGAAGTGATTGGATCATGGGGGCTGTTTTCCCCATGCTGTTCTCGTGATAGTGAAGGAGTTCTCATGAGATCTGATGGTTTTATAAGTGTCTGGCAATTCCCCTGCTTGCACTTGTCTTTCTCACCCACCACCACGTAAGACGTGCCTGCTTCCCCTTCCGCCATGATTGTAAGTTTCCTGAGGCGTCCCCAGCCATGCAGAACTGTGAGTCAATGAAACCTCTTTTCTTTATAAATTACCCAGTCTTGGGTAGTATCTTTATAGCAATGTGAGAACGGACTAACACAGAGGGTGATGAGGGAACATTCTCCCAGTGGTCATCCCCTCTGTGTAAGTGGCTGTGAGGTTAGAAGATCTCTGAACCCATGGGCAATGGCCAACGACTTTGCCGGCTGAACCCAGAATGGGAGCGATGTGGAGAGTGGGGATGGGCAGTCAGGGATGAGGCATGGGTTGGACGTGGGGGAGTGGGCAGGAGGTGCAAAGATCTGTGTGTAACAGGCAGGTGCTCCCAGAGAGCACCTGCCGCAGAGGAGGCCTGAACGACCCCTAGGGAAGGTCAGGCATGGCTGTTTGGGCCAAGCGTGATGGGATGGTTCTCTCTCTCCATGGGGGCTCAAGGCTGCCGTCTCTCTCCCTGTGCCATCCTCTGCTGCCTCCTTTCCATGACCCTTGACCCCAAGGGAACTTCACGATGAGCCTCCTGCCTGCTAGGGTCTGAATCTGAGTCTGTTTCCTGGGGACCCGCCTACCACACTGCCACCCTCCCAGAGTAGAGAAACCAGAAGTAACTGACCAGTGCTGACATCACATGGCCATCCCAAGGTCAAGCTTCTTCCCCTCACGTATGAAGAACATTCTCTCTCTCCCACCTGAAGTTCCCGCCAGTCCTACCTGAAGTTCCCACCAGTCCTGCCGGAAGTGCTACGGCTGCCCTGGCGATCTAGGTGGTCTCTCCATTGTGGGTGGTGTCCAGTGGTCCTCAGCGGGTCTGGACAGGCCCTTTCTGGACTGGAGACCTATGAAGTGGAAAGACAAGTCATTCACTTTTCCTACCTGTTTACTATGAAATGTGGGAGCAGAGACAATAGCAACCAGCCCCCATTCAGAGAGGGGCAGAGTGGCAAGCACATGGCAATCGTGGAGTGCGGCCAGCCGGAGATCCCAGTTCGGTAGGGGACACTCCCTGATGTGGCCCTAGCTCTCCTCCCTAGGCAGGCCCCAGTCCATGTTCTTGGTGGCAGTGACTGGCCCTTCCTTTGGTCTGTCCCCTGGGCCACCTGCGTCCCAGGCACTGGAGAGTCCCCACTTTCTCAGCCTCTCTGCCACTCCTCAAAGAATGGGAGCCCTGGGTTATTCTCAAGTTCTCAAACGATCACAAATGCAGTCTGTGAATTCACCCGCTGGGGAAAATGTATTTGTAACCCCCACATCAATACTTGGGGCACTCCGGGTCACTGGACACATACAGGGAGGGGGAAAGTTTAAGACATAGGATGTGCATGTTCCCAGCTGAGGTTGCACACAGTGACGTTCTGCCTTCTCGTTCTAGCTCATCCTGTAAACACGGGTCTTTCCATGGTCTCCTTAGTGACTTTTTTTTTTTTTTGGGTGGTTTTGCTGTCTAAGTTGGCCCAAGCATAGTGATGATGTGGTCCTAAGCACTGGGAAGCCGGGTGCCATGTGCCAGACAGAGAAAAAAGGCATCTTAGAGAAAGCTTCAATGTTAATGAGTCAACAATATTACACAGGTGTCTTTAAACAGAAACACACATAAAACAAGATCGTGTGTGGATTGATGAAAATTTAGTGACCAGAGCTCTCAGGAACCTTAACCCTGTCTTTCTCCTAGGAGCATGGTTCATTCATCTCTAAATCCGTGTTTACAGTGACTTTTTAGAACATAAACTGCTACAGATAATGATAATTGATGATTTTCTTCTAGGTTTATAGGTCCTTTGGTGTTACCATCCTCTTAAAAATGCGTTTGTTCGGCTTCTTACTGAAATTATGGAGAGAGACGATTGCAGGCCTCTCGAGGCGACAGAGCTTACATAGGAATGCCATACCCTTTGTCTGTTTTTCCCGAGCCATTGTGTCCACCTGACATGATTCACTTCGGTCCATTCAGACATTGTAATATTATCTTATATATAAAAAAAATGTATAAAAAATGTGGACAAAACCCCATATAGATGTATATACATATATGTATATGTATATATACATACATACACATATGGCTTAATATATGCATATATGTATGTATATACATATATATATATATGGGGTTTTGTCCACAGTTCCTGGCTTATAACTCCCACAGCCCTAACAAACAGAATCTCTCTCCCTGATCTTCTTCTGCCCTCTTTTCACCTGCCTTGGGCAGGTGGAACCCTAATCTGCTTGTGGGTCATAAGCCCCTCATTCCAGAGGGGGTCCTACCCCACACCCTGGAGGAGGGAATGCTGCCCAGAAAAGCCAAGAAGAATGTGGCCAGACAGCCTCGCCGGGTTTAGACCATATCCTTTTGGGCCAATCATATTTCTACATGGTTGTCAATCATGCCCACCCCATGCATCTCCATGAAAGGCCCAAGAGGAAAGGGCTCTTCAGGATGGCTGAACACTGACCACACAGAGGCTCCTGGAGGGTGGCCCCTGGGGAGGGCATGGAAGCTCTGCACCCTTTCCCCCATACTTTGCCCTATGTGTTTCTTCATCTGTATCTTTTGCAATGTCTTTTATAACAAACTGGTAAACATAAGTGTTTTCCTGAGTTGTATGAGCTGCTCCAGCAAATTAATTGAACCCAGAGATGGGGTTGTGGGAACCCTGATTTATAGCCAGTTGGTCAGAAGTTCCAGAGGCACAGGCTTGCAACTGGTGTCTGAGGTGGGAGGGGGCAGTCTTGGGGACGGAGCCCCCATCCTATGGAATACAAGCTCTCTCCAGGTAGAGTGTCAGGATGGAATTACAGGACACCCAGACGGTGTCTGCTGTAGTGCTGACTGCTTGCTTGCTGGTGGGGAGAAATCTCCACATATTTTGGGGTCACAGAAGTCTTCTGTGCTGATTGTTGTAGTTGTGTGAGAGCAGAGAAAAAAAGATTTGAGTTTTCTCTTAAGAGATGTGGTGGAAGTGGACATGAGGCCATGGCTTGATTTCCCTCTTGAAGACGTTGAGCTTTTGTGGCAGCTGTTGCTTCAGGCATCTTTCCATTTTACCATTTTGCTGTTGGTATTTGAGGAGCTTCTGTTTAGTCCTGCACGTTCCTGAATTGAACTCTCCGTTCCCTTTCATCCTGGCTTACAAACCACATAATTACTTTCTGAGTGCATCATTTCCTTATAATATCTTTCTAAAGCAATCCAAAGGCAAGCAACACCCATTACTACTAACATCGTTTCCAGGCCCCTCCTCTGGAGCTGCGATTTTGTTAGGTGTGAGGTCGGCTTCCCACAGCGTCACAGGCACAGTGCTGTAAATGAGCCACCTCTGCCCACTGAGCACCACCCCGGCCTCCCCGTGGCCGTCCTGTCACATTGGTTACCCAGTTACTGGGGGGCTACTGGGCTGGGGGACTCTGCCTCACACTGCCACGCCTGGACCAGGCTCACTGAGCAGCCGACGTGTCGGATGTTGCCAGTCCCCATGGCCAAGGGGAAATGGCTCTGCCACATGACCCATGCCCAGCCCAGAAGGTTCACGTGTCAAAATGTTGGCCAACATGGTAGGAGGCTGGGAGCGGAATTGCTGCAGGAGCCTAGAAGGGGCAAGAATTGGAAATACTTGGCAGAAAGCATTAGTGACTTTTACAGAGGACTACAGAGATGGGGCATTCTTAGAGGGGACAGGCCTGCTTGATCCATGCCCCAGGGTGAGGGAGACTGAGCCCCACAGCATGGGCCTGCAAGGTGGTCTGGAGGGCAGACACCGTCTCTCAGTCCTGCCCTGCCCCACTCCGCTGCACAGGGTGGTGTCTGGATGGTGGCAACTCTCAGCTTACGGGTTGCATGCAGCAAGCCTTGGCGTGGACGCGGTCACAGACCTGAGAGGCCGCAGCATTCCCTCCAGCACCCCGCTCCAAGGATCCCAATTCAGGCGGGAGTCCTGGATTTTGGCTCCAGCGTAGTTTGGGAGCCCTGGACGTGCTCAGCCCAGCCTGCTTCCCACGCTGAGCTTGCAAATGGCTGGGGAGGCTTTGGAAGAGAGCCGGGTCTTTCCTGCAGGGTGACAGCAGTGCCATCAACTTGCCGCCCAGTTGAAGGCCCTCCAGGAGTTCCCTATCCTGATTGAACCCACCCCAGCTCCTGTGAGTCACTGGCACTTGGGTGGTTTTCTTGCCTTTCATATAATTTGGAGGCATGTATTTCTCGTTTCCTCGGCAGTCTGGAGACATTTTTTTTTCATTTCGTACTGCAGTTTCTAAAAATAACGTTAGTGGTAACTTCAATTTCTTACTCATTTCTCTCCTCCTTCAGTAGGAGGCGAGGGGATTTAGAGTCCTGCTGCTGAGGGGATGCCAGGGGACAGAGCACCCGTGGCTTGTTCCTCTCACAAGGGTCCACCCTCCTGCCTCATCCCGGTGGCATGTGTGTGATCACCTGGGGACAGTCCAGGCAGGGCTCGTTCCCTCCTGCAATGCCACCAGGCACAACCAGCATCCCCAGAGGGCTCTGATAGGACCCTGATCCTGAGGGCTGCGCTGTGCCAAGTCACGTGGCCTGTCGGGTCGTCAGTGGCTTCGTTCGTCTGGAAAGTGGAGAACCCTGGTGATCTTCATCCATAGAACAGGAGGCTGGACAAATGGCTGTGTAACACGGCAGCATTGTTTGGGTGCAATGGTATGATCCAATAATTTGCTTAAAAATACGTAATAAGGCTGGGCATGGTGGCTCACGCCTGTAATCCCAGCACTTCGGGAGGCTGAGGCAGGCAGATTACTTGAGTCCAGGAGTTTGAGACCAGCCTGGCCAACATTGTGAAGCCAACATCATGAAACCCCATCTCTACAAAAATACAAAAATTAGCCAGACATGGCGGTGTGAGCCTGTAGTCCCAGCTGCTCGGGAGGCTGAGGCAGGAGAATCGCTTGAACCTGGGAGGCAGAGGTTGCAGTGAGCCGAGATGGCGCCACTGCACTCCAGCCTGGGTAACAGAGTGAGACACCAGCTCAAAAAAAAAAAAAAAAAAAAAAAAGCAAACCATATGAGATAAAATGAAGGCTTACATGGTAGATTTGAAGCAGGAAAGGCAGGCTGTTGACAACTGTCAAGGCTGAGGGATGGGATATGGTGCATATTAAGCTGTCTATTTTTATGTACCCATGAGAATTCCCATAGTAAGAAAATGTGAAAAGAAAATCATAAAACGAAATCACAAGCAAGGCTGGTTTGTTGCAGCCTTTTTTGGGTTGGATTTGGGTGAGTCTAGGCTTCCCAGCAAGCTCGAGGAAAGGACAAAGGTCGGGCTTGTGGCCTGGGTCCCGGCCCTGAGCGTGGAGTCGAGTGAGGCTTGGCTCCCACCCCTGAGCCGTGGACCTGGTACCTGGGTCCTGACCCTGGTCAGCCACAGCATGGCTTTGGGAGCTGAAGCAGGTCACCCTGTGAGGCTGTTTCTCCACTTTTTACTAAAAGGCGGGGACAGCGAGGCCTCAGAAGGAGCCCTGGGAGGAGGGGGTGGCGGATGGGTGGGGAGTGGGTGCCCCACGAATATCCTCTTGCCCCCATCCTCCCTCCTCGGCCAGCCCCTGTCCCCGGAGCCCCCACTCCTGCCCTCCCCTTCTATCCTAAAGCCCAGGCTGGCTCTGGATACATTTGATTTCTGATTTGTCATTAAATGTGACAAGCGAAGCCAGAGGACCCTCTGACACCCAGGACTGAGTGCAGCCCCAGGAGGGGCTTGCCGGGGTGTGGTGGAGGGGGCAGTGTGGCCCAGCTGGGGCGGGGGTGGGGCCAGGGCCGGGGTCTCCCGATCTCTGGATATTTGAGCTGCGGACCGGACAGGATACGCTCCTCCACGGGGAGGGCCTCAGTGAGCCGGGGCTGGGGGGCCCTCTTGTGGCAACAGAGGGCCTGGGTTCTAGGTAACAAAGCAAAATCAAAATCTGGGAGCGGCCTTTCGGGAGCCCAGGCAGACGCAGCTCACCGGTCCCCTGAGGCCACCAGCCCAGCAGGCTGCAGGGAGCCTGGATCTGCAGGCGGTGGCCGAGGCCATGGTACAGCCCACCCAGCGTTCACCCTGCGGTCCGTGGCGATGGCCGAGGTCCTGGAGTACTGATGAGAGGTGCCCTCCCAGGTGCCAAAAGGAGCTTCTGCAGACACAGTTCCGCGTGCAGGGCTCCCGGCAATCGAAGTGCAGGGCCGGCCTGGGCCAGAGCACAGGTGAGTGCAGACATAGGCTGCCTTTACAAAAGGCACAGAGCCGTGGCCGGAACCCCTGGGTCTGGTCTCCACGGCTGCTTTTGGGGCCTTAGTTTCCTTATCTGTCACATGGCCTCTGAAGCTGCTGTCAGCTCTAAATTGTGATTATTGGACCAAAGTTGAACCTGTTACTCTTCTCTGAGAAGTGGCTTTCCCTCTGGTCCTCCCATTTCTGACTCTTCTCACTTACTGCAATTTTCCAACGGCACCTCCCTCCAACCCCTTCAGTCCCCATTGTGAGAGTCACGTCCTAGGGCTCATCATTGGCCATGCCCGCCGGTCTCCAGAACCTCCGCTCCCAGGACCTCACCCACCTCCCATCTGTCCAGATCAGCCCCCAGCAAGCTTTCCGGCCACTGGGACCACTCATTCCCCACTCGCTCCATCATCCACCTCTTCACCAGCCTGAGACCAGGCTTGGGTTTCCTGGGGCACCAGCCTCGCCTCTCCTTTCACGCTCCTGTCCCTTGTCCCTCCAGCCTTAGTGGTATGGAAAACCCTGATCCTGGTGAAATTGGTGAAATCAGTGACCCTCTGTGGCCTGTGCTCCTGAACTTCCTTCCTGGACCTCCTCTAGGGTCTGGAATGGCCTTTCCTTAGATCTGCAGGGTTCATTCCATCACACCCTTATCCCATCCTCGAAGACGACCGTCAATACACAATCATACACCCCCCGCTCCTGCCCCAGACTGTTTACTGTTCCTTTGTTAGTCGTCTATTGCTTCCCCTAGACTCGACTCCATGGGGCCGATTTGGCTCTCCCGGTTTATTACCGTATCCCTGCGCTTATTCTCAGGGCTTGGCAATACGAGTGTGCTGAATGAATGAACAAGCAAATGAATGCTGCTCTTCTACCATCAGGTTTGGAATCATGGCTCTGGATTTGGGTAAATTTTACAACACCAGGCACCCAAGAGGTGTCTTCATGGGGCTGGCTGCAGAGTGGGCCGTTCTGAAGGCAGAGCTTCTAGAGCTGGTGACCTTGCTGTCCCTAAGGCTGTGGTAGGATGCGGGGCTCACACAGAGTGGCTGCAGCAACTCTTGGGAAAATGTGTTAAAAATACAACTGTCCCAGGAAGAAACAGCCTTGGAATAGAGTGTTTACATTCTTTTTGGTACTCGCCTTGACTTTTAAAATGAACTTAATTACTTCTGATTTTAAAGATAAGGCAGGTCCCTGTAAAACAGGTAGACAATGCAGAAAGACGATGCATCCTCCAGGTTCAGCCAGAGGAACAGAACCAGTTGGAGATCACACGCACACGTGCACACACACGCACACACACATGCACACACATGCATGCACACACACGCACACGTGCACACACATGCACGCACACACACGCACACACACGCACACGTGCACACACATGCACACACATGCACATGTGCATGCACACATGGATGCACACACGGACACATGCATGCATACACACATGCACACTCATGCACGGACACACACATGGACACACACATGCACACACACACACATGCACATGTGCACACACAGATTCACTTCAAGGAACTGGCTTATGTAACTGTGGGGGCTGGCTAGGCAAGTCTGAAATCCAGGGCAGGTGTCAGGCTGGAAACTCTCAGGCCAGAGCTGAGGCTGAGTCCACGGGTGGGATTTCTCCTTCCTCGGGGAAGCCTCAGTTTTGCTCTCAAACCCTTCAACTGACTGAACCAGGCCCACCCAAGTTATGGAGGATAAATCTCCTTTAGTTAAAGTTGATGGATTGGCGATGTTAAGCACATTTATAAAATGCCTTCACGACAACATCCTAAGTAGTGTTCACTTGAATAACTGGGTCCTAAGGCCTGGTCAAGAGGGCGCAGAAAACTAACCCTCACAGACATGAACGGAGCTCAGAAGGTACTGACACAAATTAGTTAGAAAGAGACAAACGGCCCAGTAGGACAGTGGGCAAAGGCTGTAAAGAGGAGAGGCGCGGCTGAGGGGATCCACATGGCCCACCAGGTAAAGTCAGTTAAAACCCCCGGGGCCAGAATGCCGTTTCCTCATAAGGGCTGTTTCCGGAGTGCTGGTGACATTTGATTTCCTGCCCGGGAGAGCGCTTGCATGGGTGTGCAGTCACAGCTAGTTATTAAACTGTGCGTAAAGGCTCTCGGGGCCCTGGGGGCAGGCTCTGGGTTCTCAGTAAGCGAGTAGGGGGACCACAAGCTGGCACTGGATCCTCGGGGTCTGACCACAACAGGCTGTGGGGGCGTCCTGCAGCCTCATCCTCCTGAGCAGGATTCCTGCCTCTCAGGTGTCCACCAAAGTACCCTGCGCTTGTGACACGGCGCCCTCAGGTCACACTGGTGATTGCTGCTGCTGCCCCAACCCGCTAGCCAGGCCAGAGACACCTTTGGCAAGGCACGGCTGGGCCAGGATAATCGGCAAGTTTCAGGCCATAAGCTTATTTTGCCCAAAAGCAGTCAAATTAGTCTAAGGCAGTCCCTCTGAATTCCAGGGAATCCCTGCACACTCTCACACACGTGTGAATGCCTCAGAGCCCTCGGGGAGCCATTTGGTGCTATCAGGAAGTCATCAATAAAATACCTGAAGAGAAGACAAGGAGAAAGGATGACTAGGCCAAAGCTAGTGAGGCCTCTGGATTGAAAAGGCAAGAGGAAAACGCAGGCATAGATATAAACAGGGTGGCAGGCCCAGTGCAGGTAAGGGGAAACGCATGCGTGGATGTAAACGGGGCGGCAGGCCCGGTGCAGGTAAGGGGAAACGCCTGCGTGGATATAAACGGGGCGGGAGGCTCGGTGCAGGTAAGGGGAAACGCCTGCGTGGATATAAACGGGAATGGAGGCTCGGTGCAGGTAAGGGGAAACGCCTGCGTGGATATAAACGGGAATGGAGGCTCGGTGCAGGTAAGGGGAAACGCCTGCGTGGATATAAACGGGAATGGAGGCTCGGTGCAGGTAAGGGGAAACGCCTGCGTGGATGTAAACGGGGCGGGAGGCTCGGTGCAGGTAAGGGGAAACGCCTGCGTGGATATAAACGGGAATGGAGGCTCGGTGCAGGTAAGGGGAAACGCCTGCGTGGATGTAAACGGGGCGGGAGGCTCGGTGCAGGTAAGGGGAAACGCCTGCGTGGATATAAACGGGAATGGAGGCTCGGTGCAGGTAAGGGGAAACGCCTGCGTGGATGTAAACGGGGCGGGAGGCTCGGTGCAGGTAAGGGGAAACGCCTGCGTGGATATAAACGGGAATGGAGGCTCGGTGCAGGTAAGGGGAAACGCCTGCGTGGATATAAACGGGAATGGAGGCTCGGTGCAGGTAAGGGGAAACGCCTGCGTGGATATAAACGGGAATGGAGGCTCGGTGCAGGTAAGGGGAAACGCCTGCGTGGATGTAAACGGGGCGGGAGGCTCGGTGCAGGTAAGGGGAAACGCCTGCGTGGATATAAACGGGAATGGAGGCTCGGTGCAGGTAAGGGGAAACGCCTGCGTGGATGTAAACGGGGCGGGAGGCTCGGTGCAGGTAAGGGGAAACGCCTGCGTGGATATAAACGGGAATGGAGGCTCGGTGCAGGTAAGGGGAAACGCCTGCGTGGATGTAAACGGGGCGGGAGGCTCGGTGCAGGTAAGGGGAAACGCCTGCGTGGATATAAACGGGAATGGAGGCTCGGTGCAGGTAAGGGGAAACGCCTGCGTGGATATAAACGGGAATGGAGGCTCGGTGCAGGTAAGGGGAAACGCCTGCGTGGATGTAAACGGGGCGGCAGGCCCGGTGCAGGTAAGGGGAAACGCCTGCGTGGATATAAACGGGAATGGAGGCTCGGTGCAGGTAAGGGGAAACGCCTGCGTGGATGTAAACGGGGCGGGAGGCTCGGTGCAGGTAAGGGGAAACGCCTGCGTGGATATAAACGGGAATGGAGGCTCGGTGCAGGTAAGGGGAAACGCCTGCGTGGATGTAAACGGGGCGGGAGGCTCGGTGCAGGTAAGGGGAAACGCCTGCGTGGATATAAACGGGAATGGAGGCTCGGTGCAGGTAAGGGGAAACGCCTGCGTGGATATAAACGGGAATGGAGGCTCGGTGCAGGTAAGGGGAAACGCCTGCGTGGATGTAAACGGGGCGGCAGGCTCGGTGCAGGTAAGGGGCAACGCCTGCGTGGATGTAAACGGGGCGGCAGGCTCGGTGCAGGTAAGGGGAAACGCCTGCGTGGATATAAACGGGAATGGAGGCTCGGTGCAGGTAAGGGGAAACGCCTGCGTGGATGTAAACGGGGCGGGAGGCTCGGTGCAGGTAAGGGGAAACGCCTGCGTGGATGTAAACGGGGCGGGAGGCTCGGTGCAGGTAAGGGGAAACGCCTGCGTGGATGTAAACGGGGCGGGAGGCTCGGTGCAGGTAAGGGGAAACGCCTGCGTGGATGTAAACCGGGCGGGAGGCTCGGTGCAGGTAAGGGGAAACGCCTGCGTGGATGTAAACGGGGCGGGAGGCTCGGTGCAGGTAAGGGGAAACGCCTGCGTGGATGTAAACGGGGCGGGAGGCTCGGTGCAGGTAAGGGGAAACGCCTGCATGGATATAAACGGGAATGGAGGCTCGGTGCAGGTAAGGGGAAACGCCTGCGTGGATGTAAACGGGAATGGAGGCTCGGTGCAGGTAAGGGGAAACGCCTGCGTGGATGTAAACGGGGCGGGAGGCTCGGTGCAGGTAAGGGGAAACGCCTGCGTGGATGTAAACGGGAATGGAGGCTCGGTGCAGGTAAGGGGAAACGCCTGCGTGGATATAAACGGGGCGGGAGGCTCGGTGCAGGTAAGGGGAAACGCCTGCGTGGATGTAAACGGGGCGGCAGGCTCGGTGCAGGTAAGGGGAAACGCCTGCGTGGATGTAAACGGGGCGGGAGGCTCGGTGCAGGTAAGGGGAAACGCCTGCGTGGATGTAAACGGGAATGGAGGCTCGGTGCAGGTAAGGGGAAACGCCTGCGTGGATATAAACGGGGCGGGAGGCTCGGTGCAGGTAAGGGGAAACGCCTGCGTGGATGTAAACGGGGCGGCAGGCTCGGTGCAGGTAAGGGGAAACGCCTGCGTGGATGTAAACGGGGCGGCAGGCTCGGTGCAGGTAAGGGGAAACGCCTGCGTGGATGTAAACGGGGCGGGAGGCTCGGTGCAGGTAAGGGGAAACGCCTGCGTGGATGTAAACGGGGCGGGAGGCTCGGTGCAGGTAAGGGGAAACGCCTGCGTGGATGTAAACGGGGCGGGAGGCTCGGTGTAGGTAAGGGGAAACGCCTGCGTGGATGTAAACGGGGCGGGAGGCTCGGTGCAGGTAAGGGGAAACGCCTGCGTGGATGTAAACGGGGCGGGAGGCTCGGTGCAGGTAAGGGGAAACGCCTGCGTGGATGTAAACGGGGCGGGAGGCTCGGTGCAGGTAAGGGGAAACGCCTGCGTGGATGTAAACGGGGCGGGAGGCTCGGTGCAGGTAAGGGGAAACGCCTGCGTGGATGTAAACGGGGCGGGAGGCTCGGTGCAGGTAAGGGGAAACGCCTGCGTGGATATAAACGGGAATGGAGGCTCGGTGCAGGTAAGGGGAAACGCCTGCGTGGATGTAAACGGGGCGGGAGGCTCGGTGCAGGTAAGGGGAAACGCATGCGTGGATATAAATGGCGCGGCAGGCTTGATGTTGGTACTCGCTTCTCAGTTCTGTCCTGTGGCTACTCGGCCCTGACACTGGTCAACGCGGCGAGCTTGGCACTTCTTTTCCCCGCTGCTTCTCCTCAGGTGCTGACTGCAAGGGGCAGAATGAGTAAGGTCTTTCCCACGGGGTTCCCTTCCCTTCCCTTCCCGCGTCTCGGGCCTATTTCCCGGAAAGCTATTATTCCCCCCGCTGACTAAGTGGTGCCGAAAGCGTCTGAGGGACTCCAAACTCCTCTTCAGGCTTATCGTGAGCTGGTGTAGACAGAGGTGTTTCCATGCTTTAACCCAACCCTTCTACTCATGTAACTTTCCCAGCAGCTCCAAGGGCAGCCAAGGCCCCAGCTAAGGTTTTTGTTCTTACCAGAAGTAAATACAAAGAAATGTTGGTAACTTGCTGAGATACAGAAAGTGTGATGAGAGTCAGATATGCTGCATCCTGCTGCCCCAGGAGGCTGGGGTGACTCCTTCCCGTCTGCGGACATGTGGGGACACACCATGAGAGCCTCAAGGCTTCGCTGCCAATAGCAGGTGGACGATCAAGGGGTCGTGGGGACGTGGAAGAAGAAAGCCTTATTGAAAGCTGGTGCAAAAGGGAAAGAGAGGCCAAAGCAGCCCCAACCATGGCCTGCCTGCCGGGGGCCCCTGCTGTGGCCTGGTGGCTTCCGACCGTGGCCTGCCTGCCGGGGCCCCTCCTGTGGCCTGGTGGCTTCCGGACCGTGGCCTGCCTGCCAGGGCCCCTGCTGTGGCCTGGTGGCTTCTGGACCGTGGCCTGTCTGCCGGGGCCCCTGCTGTGGCCTGGTGGCTTCTGGACCGTGGCCTGCCTGCCGGGGCCCCTGCTGTGGTCTGGTGGCTTCCGACGGTGGCCTGCCGGCTTCCGACGGTGGCCTGCCTGCCGGGGCCCCTGCTGTGGCCTGGTGGCTTCTGGACGTGACAGCCCAGCCATGGTCCTGCTGGACATTTGTTTCCTGGGAGAATTCTTGGAGGCCTGGTCTCTGGTCCGTAAGGACGCATAATTCTCAAGCCATGTTTCCACTGGAGATGCTAATTTTGAGTATAGGCTCCTTCCCTGTGTTTCTTTAATGAATCAGTGGCTTAGCATGGAAGGAGAAGTGGGGTCTATTTTTCACCTTGCTCCAGAATTTTAGTGCTCACAGCCACCCTGGACCCAATCTCCTTGAAAACTCTCATTTTAAATGGGAGGGGAAGGGGAGCTATCGCTTACCAGGTTCTAGTGATCTTCTGGGGTGATGAGACGTGTTGACCTTGAGAGAGCTGGTGGCTGCACAGCACTGTGAATGCGCCAGACGCCACCGACCGTATGCTTTGAAATGATTATTTGCATGTTATGTAAATGTCACCTCAGTTCCAAAAAAAAAAAAAAAATAATAATAATAGCCCTTGAGACCCGGAGAGGCTGCCCCTCCAGAGCCACTAGCTCCTCCTTTTGGGCTCCAGGATGTCTGGGTGTGGCTGTCACTTCGTCGTGGGGTGCAGGGACTCCTTAAACGCACCTGCCATTTTTCTGCATCTCCACTCCAAGTTCCTTTTAGAGGCAGGCAGGGTGTGGATTTTAACAGTAACAGAATGTCCAATGCCTGCCTCATTTTAGAATTTCAAAGAGAGACAGAACCGTCTTGGTTATTACCAAGTCAAGGAAGAAGGGAATGGAATATTCTGGATCAAGATGCCTTCAAAGTCCGTGTTCACTGTTGGCCCAAATGACACATGACATCCACTCACCGATCCTGTTTTGGTCAAAAATTGGCCTGGCTGGTTGGGCTTGGTGGCTGACGCCTGTAATCCCAGCACTTTGGGAGGTCGAGGTGGTCGGATCATGAGATCAGGAGTTTGAGACCAGCCTGGCCAACATGGTGAAACCCTGTCTCTACTAAAAATACAAAAATTAGCTGGGCGTGGTGGCTCGTGCCTGTAATCCCAGCCACTTGGGAGGCTGAGGGATGAGAACTGCTTGAACCCAGGAGGCAGAGGTTGCAGTGAGCTGAGATGGCGCCACTTCACTCCAGCCTGGTGACAGAGCGAGACTCCGTCTCAAAAAAAAAAAAAAAAAAAAGTGGCTGTGGGCGTAAAAATCACAGGATGCCCAAACTTCTTATGCCAAAGGGAAGATTAAGCCTGGAGTGAGAATCATGCAACGCTGCATCCGTATGGACAGCTGTCATGAATAGGATACATCAGCCAGGTCCCCACAGAAAGGTGGAGGCCACAGCCGTCTGCAAGTGCTCCCACAGATCTTTCATCAGTACATTCTTTGCTGGCCTCCCATAAACAAGGACATGCCAATCATAAATTTAGGTGTGCAATGTAAGTCCAGCTCCTAAAATGAGAGTCTGTTCCATTCTATGCTGATAATGTCCTTTACAAGCTTGTCCTCCCAGGGGCAGGCCAAAGACAAGACGAGATCAAGTGTTCCTCCACCTACCCAGAGAAGTCTGCAAAATGGATTCCTCCTTTGCTCCCTTTTCTTCTTCAAATATTTACCTTATGTGAAATGCAGATTTACTGGGTGCTAACTGAAGTCTCACAAGAATGTCACCATTCACCTCACCTCAATGTCTAAATACCAAACCTCTTGTAAGCCTCTTTAGAAAAACAGCCACAGATGTGTCTGTGGCTTGTGTTTTCCTGGACATGCCCTAACGCTGGCAGAATAAACCTCGGTTGATTGAGATATTTACCTCAATTGCTTCTTTCAGTTACCAGACCTGACCATTGTTAAGCGTGTCCCAGAGGATGTTGGGGACCAATTCCAAGGATCAAGAAATTCTCAACTGGCAAGGGCTCCCCTGCCTTCCACCCTCCCCCCACTGTCCTTCCCAGCAGTCCAGGGTGCTGCCCACCCCGACTGTCTCCGACGATGGCGCACGCCCCTGCCCTTGCCCTCCGTGGACTTTCTCAGCCGCCTGGGACGTGCCCTGCTGTGCCCCTGCATCCCACTTGCTGCCCAGGGCGATGCTTCATGGTGACCTGCGACTGGCTCAGCAATGATGGACTCTCCTGGGAGGGTGAGGCCCTGGGTGCCAGAAACACTGCCTGTGTTCAGCAGCTGGAGTTAAATTCCAGCTCCCAAGGGGTGTGGCGGGGAACATGCTGCACTTGGCCACCACTACGGGTGGCCCAGACCCCACATTATCCCCATGTCTGGAGCTCACAGGCCCCCTTGGAGGGGGCCAGCAACAAGAGCTGGCTTCAGAATGAGCAAGCAGCTCAGGACTGCGTTCTTCAGAGTCCCTTGGATCTGTTCTCAGGGGCAGGGCACGTTGGAACGCACGGGACAGGGAAGTGATGACAGTTAACCCAAACTCAGTGAAGGGCACCACTGGGTTCCAAATGAACCATCGCTCCTCCCGACTCAGGCCCCTGGGGTCTCTCAGCCAGGCTTTTGGTTCCCGCTTCCATCCTGGATGAGGTGTCATTCTGCGGGCCACAGGGCACATGGCCAGGGCAGTCACCCAGCACCTGCGCCCGAGGGTCGCGTGGGTTGAGTGCTCCACCGTGGCTGTGTGGAGATTCTGAGAAGTGCTCTCTTTGCATCTGTGGTTTGTAAGGGAAGTCCAGGGGACAATGGAGCCGGCACTGAGGGACTGGAACTTTGGCTCTTACGTGATTCTGACTCCACCACCTCCCCAGGAGGGGCCTAGGTTGTGCTCCCACCTCAGCCCCCCCCCCACCCTGGGAAGTGACCTGCCTACTGCCCGTGGTCTCTGGTGGGCCTGGCAGCTGCCCCTGCCTTGGCAGCCAGTGCTACAGCCTCTTCTACTGCCCTCCAGGGACCTGGGGTGTCCTGTGCAGAGACTGTGGGTCAATGCGGAGCCTTGGGAATGGAGGTGACCTGGCGCATCGGAGCCCTGTGGGGGACAGCCTGGGTGCCTTGTGGGCACAGCCTGCAAGGGACACAGTGCCCTCACACCTGCTTCTCACCTGGCCCAGCTGTGCTCTGCTGAGTCAAGACTGGAGTGGTCCTGTGGCCATTTAGCAGAGTGGTTTTTATGTCTGTTGAATTGAATAATAATAAATCAGGGCTCATTTTTTTTCAGCTCGTAGTTTATCAAGCAATTTCGTTTTCTTGGATTTTACAAGCTGGCGATGGGAGAGCTGGCTCTGCTCTGAGACGCACAGTATAGCAGCCACCAGGCCCTGTATTCGCGGCAGCTCTTGGACTCTGAGGTGCATTCACTGAGGTGAGCTTCCAGGAGTAGTTTTTCCTACCTACAGACAGGCTGGAGAGCTGGAGTCCCACCTTGAGCTCTTTTGTTGGCCCTGTCACCAGCTTGTGTTTCCATGATCCGGCATTTTTTTGTCAACATGAATAGGAGAGTCTTAGTGATGTGCACTAAGCGCACACGTGCGTGACAGGCAGAGCCACGCTTCCACAGGACGGCAAGCGCAGACGTGCGTGACAGGCAGAGCCACGCTTCCACAGGACGGCAAGCGCAGACGTGCGTGACAGGCAGAGCCACGCTTCCACAGGACGGCAAGTGTGTGTGTCTCAGAGCTGGCTGTTTGCAGATGGAAAATACCTCAGCTATGCTCAAATGAAGATGTATTTTTATATTGAAATCATGTACTTTTTTCCTTAAAAGTCATAATGAAATCTTCCATCCATGAATCAAGGTGAATTTCCGCTAAATTGCTTTAAAAAAATAGCTGTGTGTATACTCTTCATTTTAAAAAAAGGATCGACTCTCCATTTCCAAAAGTTCTCAGGGTTTAGCTCAGAGGGTTCAGAAATGGGAAGTTGCTCTTCCTTTGTGAGTTGTGGGAGATTTTCTTCTAGTACTTTAGTTCATTGAGTTGGGGAAATAGCGATCGCCACCTCAAAGCTGCTGTGCTGAATGCTGGCTGGTGGCTATGGGGTGAGGAAGGTCCGCTCCGGCCCACCAGCCCTGGGCCTCTGACTAGATGAGGCCTCAGAGGGGACAGTTCTGGAGAGGCAGGGGGCAGTGAATGCAAAGAATTTTGTTTATGGAAAAAGCCCTCTGTGCATCCTGTAATGATACTGTGCCATCTGCGTCATCCCTCGCTTGTTCACCCCATGGATACGAGTGCTGCACACCCAGAGGGAAGAGGTGCCCTGTGGTGAGCACGGGGCTGGTGCCCGTCCTCAGGGATGGCAGCCGGCAGGGGCTCAGGGCAGCCCAGGCCACTGTGACACCAGCGGGAGAGGGCTGGACTGGTGCCTGGAGCCAGGTCAGGGAGAGAGGGAAAGTGGGAGGCTCCCAGGAGCGGGAAGCATTGGGTGGAGGACCGGGAAAGGCCAGCACAAGCTGAGTGCGCTGCGTGTGTGGGAAACACACTCCATCCATTTGGTGTTTAGGGAAGTTCTTTTTTAGCAGAAATCTTTTAAATGTATAAATAACTTGCCATTAAAAAGAGAGTGAGCCAATCTAGTGGGGCAGCTGGCACACAGAAGCCGCCACAGCCAGGTCTGTTCCTCCTGTGGGCTTCTCCGCAGAGCTCAAGCAGGAGGCCCCTGAGAACTGCGGGACACACAGTGTGTTGTTTCTGACCTTTGCCCTGCTGCTGTGAGAGGTCCCCAAGTGAACTTCCACAGCACTCCATCCAGAGAAAGCCCGCACCATGCACATCTGGACGGTCAGCATTCTGAGGACGTTTGAAAGCCTGGACCCCACCATGTAGTTCCCAAGGTCAGCACCTTTCCCCACCACCACGGGGTGTGACACCTCCTCGTCAAGGACAAATCTTAGGATATTCTTTAAACTGCGTGATTTATAAAATACCCAGATGGCTGTTTACTTCAGCTTGGCCTTCTGTGCAAACAAGGGACCGAGAGGTAGGCCCCTTTTCTGCTGGAAATGGTCTTTTCCCAGTATGTGTCCAAACCCGAGAAACCTCAATGTGTCCAAGCCTGAGAAAACCCAAAACACACAACACGATTTGGAAGTTCCCTTTTTTAGCGTAATGGAAATGTAAGCAGAAATCATCAACATTCTCTGAGTGTTCTGAGATTTTTTAAACAAAAACATTTTATTTCAAAGGGCAGATAAGTATTTTGCTAGACACAACTGAAAAAAACAGCCAGAGAACAATTGGAGTTTGTCTTAATAAATAACAAAATGCCATTTATGTCTCTTAAACTTCATATGACACAATACACATCTTAAATAAATAACCCAGTCTGTTGCTATGTATTAAAAACAGTCCCAGGTGTGGTGTGTGTTGTGGAGCGAAGCCGGTTGCTGGGCTTGGACCCGCCAATCCCAGTGCCGGTGGGGAGACCGCTTCCCAAACCTCTGCTGTGCCCCTGTGCCTGAGCTGAACAGCAGTGCCATGGCCCCGGAGGGCAGCAGGAAGGCCAGGGGCTGGGATGACGGTGACTTTGGGGCGCTCTGTGGCTGGCAAGCCTGGGTGCCTCCAACCGGAGGTGCTTCCTGCCTCCTCACCCTTGGCTTCTCGACAATTAGTTTTTAGGTCAGTCCGAAACATCATGGGTGCTGGAAAAGCCTCTGGGGCGATGTGGTGGGTCTGAGCTCCGTCTTGGTTTCCAACCTGGTTGTCGGCCTTCTTGATGTTGTGTGGCGCTGGCTCTCTGCTTCTCTGCTGGCCGGCACTGTCTGGTGGGCTCTGGTGTCCTGTTTTTCCATGTGGCACATACAGGTTCTCTGAAGCCACAGCCAGCGCAGTACTCGCTCACTTTGATGTTCTGTGGCTGGAATGCCTGAGAGGGTCGGGGCTACCTGTGCACCCCCCCCACCCTCCCGGCCTTGTTGTCACGCGTGCATTTGGGTGGCTGCATGGGCACACGCCTGTGAGGCCAGGGCCGGCCGGGTCTTCGGTTCTCTGGCTTGGCTCAGGCAGCAGTTCCTGCAGACTTTTCTCACTGCTGTTCAGCAATATGTCTCCTTTAAAATAGCACCAGGGGTTCTCAGGTTGGCTTCTGTGTCTTTTCCAGGTGCGTGTGCAAAAGGCAAAGGGAGGTCACTCTTTCCATGCAGGGCCCTTTGTCTGAACTGTCCTTGAAAGGCAGTTGTGAAGGGTGGGCCCAGACCCCCTCCACGGGACTGGGGTGGGGTGTCACTGTTCCTTAAATCTGAAAGAAAGGTTGAAAGAAGAGCTGCTCTAACAGCCAGCAGTGGCTCAGCAAGAGATGCTGAACTTCACACACCATGTGCAAATCCTATGGGGAGCCAGCTGCCCTCCCGGCCCAGCAGGGATTCCTCTCCTGCAGGGGTGCTGGATGCTGGATAAACCCTTGCACCTTTCCCGCAGCCTTCTGGGGGCCAGGAAGAAGTGAGAAGGGAGCGAGGGAGGACCAAGGGGGGAGGGAAAAGAGGAGGGAGGGAGAAGGGGGCGAGCAGGAAGGCAAGGAGAGCTCGGGGGGCTGCAGCTCCAACAGAATGCCAAAGACGGCAATTCCCTCACATTTTCCACTCAGGGTTTGAGGAGAGATTACCACTAACCCATCCAGAGGTATTTATTAGAAAAGAAAAAGTGAGAGTGAAGGTGGCGTGCCGTGAAAAGATAAGCCACGCGTTTTCTTTCTTTCAGGAAAGCCAGGTGCAGAAGGCAGATAGGACAGAAGGCACTTTGGAGCCGGCTTTCACGCACGGAGACAGGGCCCGAGTGGGACTTACGGAACTTGGTCCCCCGTAGCTGACCCTGGGCAGCTCAGCTCCTTGTGTATGAGGCGGATCAGGAACTGCACCAAAACAAAGGTGAGCCCACCTGTTACTGGAGCAGGCACAGGGCGGCCCGCGCCGTGGGCACCATGAGGACCTGGCCCGCAAGGCCTGGGCGGGTGGCTCTCTCCCCACAGCACCTTCCCTGGGGTGGCCTCCCTGCAAGAGCAGCGGGGCTTGCATGCTCAGCCGGAGGCCTGGGCTCCTGTGGGCAGGGCTGTCTGATGAGGGCAGGGCTGTCTGATGAAGGCCCACGAAGAACCAGGAGCTGCCCTGAAAACAAGGCTTTTGGGAGAGATGCAGCCTGAACTACTTCTGGGTTCAAGTCACGTTTAGACTAAAATTAATCCAATCATGAAATGTCCACAGTGGGAAAAAGGAAATAAAGACAAGAGGACCATAATGCGGGTGGCCCAGTGGGTGGACCTGCGAGCTTCTCAGGTGACTCTAAAGCCAGGTGAGCACTTCCTCTGGCGCCAGCCCTGGGGTCTGAAGAGGCTGTCACAGGACAGCCGCACCCCACTGGGAGCCCCTTGGAGGCCAGGCCTGGCCGGGGCCCAGGGCTTTCCACCAACATCACTGCCTCAGCCTTGGCTCCTCGCCGGACCCAGAGCTTTAACTCCGTGCCCTTCACATGTTTGAGGGCTCAACGCCAGCCTACAAATCCAGACAAATGATTGTGCTACCTCCAATTTAACTAGTGCATTTTCCAGTGTGGATCCAGTCTCTCCCCAAGTGGGACATCAGCCCACAGGAGGGCTCTCCCTGGACGTGGCCCCTCGTTCTTAGAGGGCAGCAGATGCCCTCAGACCCAGGGTGGATCACTGGTCCAGGGGAGGCAGGGAAGGGGTGCTGGAGGGTCTCGAGGGGCTACTTAAAAACCAAACACATGGCCCCACCACCAAGCCTCAGGCCAGAGCTCTAGAAGGCAGAAACTCTTCTATTTTCTTAGGTGCTTGTGGTTCAAGTAGGAGCTTAGGAGTCCCTTGTATGAGGTGAGTTCAAGCTGGAGAGAACAGGGGCCCCTCCTACAGATAAGATGCATCCAGCTGCTCTGCTTGGTGCATGAAAGGTGTTTGCGACAATTAGGTGGTAAAGGTCGTGGGAACACGGCAGGTACGAACAATAGTGCTGGTGACAATAGCAAGATTTTTGTTAAATAAATCCATCTGTGTGAATCTGAACCTCTAGCTCCAACTACCGGCACAGGCTTATTGTGTTTGAGCTGGTACCTTACCCACATCTACATCCTGCCAAGTGTGATGTATGAAAAGTGCTAGCCCGAAGAGGCCTATGATTATGAAAAGCTGATCATTAAGAGAGAAAAAGATGAAGAATATAGTAGCAAGTGTTATCTGTGGGTACGGGATGAACTGTAAATGGTGACAGTTCTGAAGAACAGAGATCCAATTTCAAAACATGCCCACGTGTTTGGCTCACGCATGCAAGAATGACCAACAAGGAGGGGCCCTACCAACTCCAGGAGCCCAGGCGACACGCACTGGAGACCTGAGGCCTTCGGTCGTGCGCCAGGCAGTCCTGCAGGCCCTGGAGCTGGCCATCAGTGTGTGTTGTGAGGCAGGAAGCATGGTGCCCTCTGGCCCCCCAGGACACCTGCTCAGATCATGGAGGTTCTCAGCTCCAGACTCGGGAGGAAACACTTGTCTATTTTGGTGAAAAGATACCAAAAAGCATGTTGATCAGTGAAGAGAAAAAGGTATGTCTAGTTCTTAGGTTTGAAAAGCCCAACTCAAGCTCACGGACCTGCTGCACATCCTGGTATAGTTCCTTCTCCACTGCGACAAGCCCCCGTCTCCCAAGTGCTTCAGCTTTAGGTCTCTTTCTTCCAACGCAGCAAATCCGGCTTCCTCTGGTTATTATTTACCTGTCGTGTAGTTTCCCATTCTTTTACTTTTGTCTTTTCGGAATTCCAGTGTAGCAGGTGTGTTTCTTGTAAATAACCAGTGCCTGTATTTTTAAAAGCAACCTGACAATCTCTGCTCCTAACTGATGAGTTTAAGTCCATTTATTGTCACTGTGTTGCTGGCATGCTGGGATCATTTTCATCCATGTTGCTCTGTATTTCTGTATTTACCCTGTTTTTTTCTATGCTTCCCCTGACCCTAGGTTCTCTTAGATTAAGTCTTCATTTCCCTGTATTGCCTTGAAGGTTACACATTCTATTGCTATTGGCTTGACAACATAAGAACTGCAGTGTACTGGAACTCTCATTGTCCCACTTGTACCTTACATTTTCAGTATTTCAGTTCTTTTTTATATTGCCCAAATTAGTCATTATTGCTGTTGTTTTAAACTGAGAGTCAGAAAGCTTTTTCTGTAAAGGTCTAGATAGTAAATATTTCAGGCTTTGCAGCCATATGGTTTCTGTTGCACATTCTTTTGTTGATTTTTTAAAGACATATTTAAAAATATAAACCATTCCCAGCTGGAGGATCACACAAAAATAGGCCACAGTTAGCTGGCCCCTATTTTATATGGTCAATACTCCTTTAGATTCATCCTTAGGAATATCACTTTTTTTTTGCTTGCATTTCTCCTTGCATCTCAGACTTTCCTTCTGGATCTATCTTCCTTCTCTAAATACATTGTTTAGCAATTTTTGCTGGGAGCATCTTTGGTTAAAAATGTTTTCACTTCACCCTTACTCTTGTGTGCAAGTTTATCTAGGTACAGAATTCTAAGTCATTTGATTCCTGAATCTAAGAATGTTTGTCTTTCATGTATCTGGAAAATTCTCAGCTATTTTGTCTTAAAATATTGCTTCAAATCCAGTCTATCATCTTCCTCTGGAATTACTTTCAGATAACTTTAGGCCATCTCATTTGGTCCTCCATTTTATATTTAATTTCTCTCTAATATTTTCCATCTCTCTTTTTGTGCTGAATTCTGGATAATTTCTTCATATCTATATTTCACTTCAGTAATCTTCTCTTCAGCGGTATCTAATTTGCTTTTCTAACCCATCCATTGAGTCTTTTTCCAGGCTAAAGATCACATTTTTCATTTCTATAACTCCTGTTTGGTTGTTTTTGAAGCCTGCTCTGTCTTTTCAATAGTGTCTTGTTCTTTTTTTCATGAGGTCAGTTCCTTTTTCTTATGTCATTAGTAACATTGCATATATTTATTTTTAGTTTACATAACTCTTTTATCTGCAGTTTTGGGGGAGTCCAATTCCACCATTTTTTATGTCTGTTACTGTCATTCAATGTGGATTGCTTCCTTATGTTTCATTATTTTGGATTGTGAGCTCATCTTTTGTAGGGTGTTAGCTACAGAAATCCTATGCTGCAGGGTTGAGATTTGTCCCTATTTGCTTCTGTATTACTGCCTAAGGACCAACTTTGCTCATTTAAAATATATTTATATAAGCTCAAAGATTAAAGCTGACTGTGGGGAGGTCTATGGCTAAAAATTTTCAAGGGAGATTTCTTCCCCCTAATCTGGCTAAGATGGGCAGATTCCCATTGTCTTCCTGTGCCAGTGTGCAGATATCATCTAGTATACTCTTTCACTGCAAGCATGGCTCTTCGAGGGTCCTGGCTCTATGACGAAGTCTCCAGTTCCAAATCTTCATCTTGTGCCAGCCTAACGCCTTGTCTCTTACCCAGTGTGGGCACAACCACCCCAACCCGTTGATTCCTGAGCTTGTGTATTTATATTGCCTTTACAATTCTGGCTCCTGGGGAGTTCCTTTACTTTCTTATGAGTTTGGCTAAGCATCAAAACAATTTTCAATATATATTACCAGATAGTTCTAAAGAAGATATTTCAGATTCTCTGAACAGTTGTAATGACAGGAATTTTACTGCTACTTAGTGGAAATCCATCTGGAGGCTTCATTAGAACATTCAGGCATTAAAAGAACCCACAGATGATCCAAAGAACAGCCATTTAAACCTAGTAAGTTCATAGGTTGAGAGTCGGTATTTGATTTTGTATGTGGTGGGGAAGTTGAGTTTTAGAATTTCCTGGAATTAAAATATAAGACTTTCATTTAATTGAGTGAGTTGATATTTCTGAAATTCTCAACTCATTTTTATTGGGATCAGCCTAAGGTTTTGTCTGGTGAAGTGAGAGGAGAGGCATGGCTGTGGGTCTGGGGACTTTGTGGCCAGGTGACTTGTAAAGATGTGTATGCACCCCTCACAGCTGCACATCTATGTGACTGTGACATCATCACTGGTCTTCCTTACCCAGGGGAAAACCTCAAACTTTCTCAACACAGGAGGGCACAGAAGCAGGAGCCCAGAGAAAAGGGGGCAGAAGCCAGAAGGCGACTCAGTGTCTGCACTGGCAACCTCTTTGCTCCTTTATTCTCTCCCATCCCTTCAGGTGAAAGAAGTTGGGGCCGCTCCCGCCGTCTGACAGCATGGCTGCAGGAGGGACACCAGGACACTGATGACCACTGGGAGGCCAGGCTCTGTGTATCATCTGCTTTAATTCCCACAACAATCTTGTCACTGGGTGCCATTATCATGCCCATTTTAAAGCTGTGGAAACTGTGGAGCAGAGGTTACGAAACCTGCCCAAGTCACACACATGACAGGTGACAGGCAGGATCTAGAGCCACGGAGCTCCACGCTCCTGGCCTTTGTGCTATCCCGCCCAAGGCTGCAGAGCAAGACTGTCCTGCTTCTGTTTCTGACTTTTTCTAATCAGAGAGAGAAGGAGCTTTAGACCACGCATATTTAGAAAAGATGGGAAGACCCAAACCTCTCTGATAACTCAGGAATGCATGGGAGAAAGTTCCACCAGTGTTTGGACACAACCACAGAGATCTGCATTCAAGGTGGATTGGACTAAAAATAGGCCGACTTACCAGTAAGGCACAGGCATCTGCAAACATCAGCATGTAAAACACATTGCTCCAGCCGGACGGGGAGAGGAGCCCAGCCAGCAGGGGGCCCAGGGCTGCTCCTGAAATCAGGCAAATGGACACACATGGTGCTGTTTAGAGAAAATCCCAGCACATAACTAGCAGCCACAGAGAATGGGGCTCAACACCTCACTCACAATGAAAGGAACACATATGGAACTACACTACCTCATCCTGGCCTATCAGATTGGGAGCGGGTACAAGGCCTAGTATAGGTTGAGCCTTCCAAATCTGAAAACCTGAAATCCAAAATCTCCAGAATTTGTAACTTTTTGAGTGCTGACACTCAAAGGAAATGCTCACTGGGGCATTTCAGAATTGGGATTTGAGATGCTCAACCAGTGTAATGCAAATATCCCACAATCTGAAAAAATAAAAAGACATAACCACTTCTGGTCCCAAGTACTTCAGATAAGGATACTCCACCTGTACGCCTCCGTACTGGGAAGGCAGAGCTGGCACAGCCTTTTCCCAGAACCATCCTAAAAATGTGTGTTGACATTGCAATGTTCATTCTTTTCATCCAACACTCCCATTATTTTCTTGAGTACACGTAAGGAAATCTGAATTCAATGCACAATCTTAGATATTCTTATGCTATAAAAATGTAACTGGGTAAAATTTGAATAAGAATTGTAGATACTAATATTCTTTCAATGCTCACTTTCTGATTCTGATCATGCACTGTGGTCTGTCATGGAACTCCTTGTTTTTAGGAAGTACATGCTGAATAGTTACGAGGAAAGGGGCAGCATGTGTGCATCTTACTCTTAAGTGGTTCAGAAAAATTATGCATGTGTGTGTGCATATATGTGTGTGTGCATGTGTGTGTGTAAAAACACGGGTGCATGATGAACCACATGTACTAAAATGTCTGAATTCTTTGTACTATTTCTGCAACTTTCTCAAAGTCTGAAATTATGTCAAGATGTGTTTTTAAATGATGAAAACAAATAACGTATCCCCCTAAATGCCCAAGGACTGCTGTTTAAGAATGTGTTTTGTAGCATCTGGTGCATTTTACCAAGAGGGACTGAAATGAATTCTGATACACATGTAGGATGGCCTGTTTTGGTAGATGCATGGGAAAAAGCATGAAGAATTTCCACCAACCTATGAACTGACATATTCAACTCTGAGAGGTAAGATAACCAGGGTCTTTCATGCCCTAGGCACTTGTTTTTTTCAAGTGTTCACAAAGTGCACTTACTATTTTATAATCCCAGGAGCAATTGTATGTTTTTTTTTTTAATTCTCAGAACTTCCAGGTAAACATGGTCGGCTACTCATGTGTTATCTCCACACCCCCAAGCAACATGAACTGCGCCATCACTGACTTCTAAAGATGATAAATCCTCCCACCGAAGGGCACGTAGTTTTGGAAGATGGACACAGAAGGGCTGACAGCTAACACAGCCTCCAGTGTTCCCTGCTCCACTGAGCATCCTCAGAGGGAGACAGCACAGGGACACCTGGAGCAGAGCGAGGCCCAGCGGAGCCCAAGAGACAGGGGAGGGGAAGGCAAGGAAGGAGGAACGCAGTGGGAACGGAAGGGGGTCAGCAAGAGAAAAAAGGTGCATGGGTTGAGTCTTTTATCACAAACTGTTAGCTACATTCCCTCTGCCGCACCTCGGATCCCAGGTCTCTTTTCTCATCCTCACTGATAAAGAGACTCCTCCTGATGCCCCCGTGCAGGACAGCGCAGCTTAACCCGTGGGGACACTAAGCCCAGTGCAGGACAGGGATGCTCACCTAACAGGCGACAGGGGATCTGGGGAAAGACACCAGCTTCCACCAAGCTTCCATGCCATGGCAAGGATGTTGGCAGCTGGACCCAGGCTCCCCTGGGCACTGAAGGAGTCTCCTCCTGCAGGTTCCGCAGGGTCCCACTGCCTGGAGACCAGCAGCCAGCACACTGTCCCCACAGAGAGACTTCAAACCACTATGCAGGGCCCCTTCTTCCATGGGAAGTGATGAAGGGGCAACCTAGGTCTGCCCTGTGTCTGGGGAACACCCCAACGTGAAAGCAAGCAAGCTGGCAGGAGGGAGCCTGGAGGAGAAGAACATTCCCAGAGCTCACAGCACCCACAGAGAGCCAACAGAAGACTAAGTTGAACCTCCCCCCAGAGAGCCAACAGAAGACTAAGCTGAACCTCAGGACACACTCTTTTTTTTTTTTTTGTGTGTGTGTGGCTGAAAACCTGTTATCAATTTCACATGATTCAGTCTAACATGAAATAAAACAGGATGCACTGAAAGGGCAGAGAAACATCAGTAAACATTGAAAATATGGCAGGAAAAGTAAAATGGTCGATACAAAGTTGGAAAATACAGTCAAGAATCTCCCTGAGAAAGTGTAAGAAAGAACAGGGAGACAGGCAGGAAGGGAAAGAAAGAAAGGAAAGTTGAAGGATTAATCCAGAAAAGCCTACATCTGACTAATACATTTTCCAGAAAGAAAAAACAAATCAGAAAATGGTAGGAAAACTTATCAAACGAACAGGGGCCCAATTCCCCTAAAGTGAAGGGCAGGTGTTTCCAGACTGAAGGTGCCACCAGGTGCCCCAGGACGGTGGATGAAGAAAGGCTCCCGGGGTAAGGAAGGGAACCTGGAGATCTAAGAGAAAAAAGAGAAGGTCAGAAAGCAAGGGCTGGGGTCAGAATGTCTGTGAACGTGTCAGTGACAGCAATGGAGGCTGGAAGACGGGGGTTCTGAAGAGAAGGTGTTTCCACGTCCACATTGCCTCAGGCGAGAGCAGAATCCAGCCATCACGCACTTGTAAGCTTGCAGAACCCACCTCCCCTAACTCAGGAAGCTGCTAGGAGCCAGTTTCCACCACAGGAGTGGTAAACAGGGGTCTAGACTGCTAGGGCTGTGTCGCAGGCAAGAGAGGAGGGGGACTCCCAGCACCGTGGTGACAGGTGCTCTGGGGCCAAGCCGCGCAGTGGGCGGAGTGAGGCTGATGGCGTGAAAGGGGTGGGGCAGGGCAGGATGGCGACCACGGTGCAGGGAAGGAAGAACTTTGTCGGAAATGTGAAAAAGAGGAAAAGAGATGTTTACTTACCCGGGAAAAAACAAGATGTATCTATTGAGGGTGCATAATTAAAGTTTGTTTCTTGGCTGGAAAGTGAAGGGCAGAAGCATGGCTGGTATAACTGAGGAGGAGGAGGGGTGGGCAATGTCGGGGTGGAAGGGAGCCAGGTCCCCTCTTCCGTAAGAGGAGCACAGCTGATGACGTTCAGATGATGAACCAAGAAACATGGAAATACGTAGGTAAGCAGAGAGAGGCAGCTGAAATTGGCTGCCTCTAGAAAGAGAGGGCTGGGGAGGGGGACGGAACGCCGCTGTACAACATAATAAGCTTGTAGGACTGTCTAGCTTCTAAGGTACATTATGTTTTACTTTAATAAATAAAAATTAACTTGAAGAAAAATGCAGTGCCCTATTTAATTGCTCTGCATGAAATGTACAGAAACGGCAACCTCTGCGATTCTAAGCACTGTGAACGCCCCAGGCGCACACCGTGTCAACAAACCGTGTGGCACTTGGGAGAAGGCAGGGGTGATTTACGATTAGTCATGTTTCGCCTCCACCCGAGTCACTGCCAAGGAGTGGACAGTGACACTGAATAAGCATGCGGGCACCTCCTTCGGGAAGGGACTTGGCTGACATGGTGGCCTTCCCACTGGAGCCTGTACTTTGTCTTGCTGGGCAGCACTCACTCATGGAAGGAACAATGACCAAGGCGTGGTGGTGGGGGTGGGTAGGCCTGAGCGCCGTTTCCATGGTGACCATTCACTGAGCAGGCAGCAGGCACTGATGGGCAGTGGAGCCTGGAGGAGTCAGGTCCTGGTCCTGCCTCTGGTGTAACGCAGCAGCCATCAAGGTGGGCGCGGCAGCTCCGCGGACAGTCAGGACTTGGTGCAGGTTAACAGAAGGCCAGAGGGGGTCCGGTGTGTGTGCCACCTTCCTTGTGAGGGGCCAAAGGCATTCAGAACTGTGCCTCCCTCCACCTGCTTGGGGGCAGTGGTGGGCAGTGGCCTCTGTTCACAGACGCAGGGTCTCCACCCTTAGCCACAGACTTCTGCTTCCCTCTCATTTTGAGAATATGAAGAAAAATGTGTTTTTTCACCTAGTTCATGATTTCCTTCTCTTTTTTTATGCTGATCCTCTGCTTTTAAAACAGCAATCGGGGTTGCCAGTAGAGCGCCAAGTTAGCTTTAAGAACAGGGTTTCACAGCAGAGTCAGACCGAATTGCAGACTGCAGTCCACTGAGGCACAAGGCCAAGAGAAGGCCACGCAGTCACAACGTCAACCAGAACTGAGCTCAGCCCCGCAGTCCCCCGACTTCCTACTGAGATGCCCAAGACAGAAGATCAGAGGGGTGACTACTGCCGCCACCCAATACACTCAAAGCCCCTCTGGATCCAGTGAAAGGAAGGAACCAACATGAAGGGCAGAGACGAGGCTGGTCTGGTCTCACTTTGGTGAACAGCAAAAGCCAAAGTGTGGCTTTCTGAGCAACAGCCACCCTGCCCACCACTTCTCAGAACCAGGCCGTGTGTCGCATGACAACGGCCACCCTGCCTGCCGCTTCTCAGAACCAGGCCGTGTGTCACATGACATGGCAACGGCCACCCTGCCTGCCGCTTCTCAGAACCAGGCCATGTGTCACATGGCAATGGCCACCCTGCCCGCCGCTTCTCAGAACCAGGCCGTGTGTCACATGGCAACAGCCACCCTGCCCACCACTTCTCAGAACCAGGCCGTGTGTCGCATGACATGGCAACGGCCACCCTGCCCGCCGCTTCTCAGAATCAGGCCGTGTGTCACATGGCAACGGCCACCCTGCCCGCCGCTTCTCAGAACAAGGCCAGAACAAGGAAACGCAGAACAAGGAAACGCAGCAGCAGCAGCGTGGAGCTGGGGTTCCCGCCACCCAGGGCTGGGCGGGGGCGCCTGGGGCCTGTCCGGCCTGGCTCCTCACTGTGCAGTCAGCCGCCTGGGCCCCGGCTGCGATTCTAACTGTCTGGGAGCAGCTCATTCAGTTCACTGGGATACAGCAAAGAATCAGGCAAATCCCGTCCTCCTGGAGCTTCCGTTCCAGTGGCAGGAGACAGAGGAGACAAAACAGAGGAGTGCACCGAATCCCACTGCGGATGGGGAGAGCGCTCCAGAGAACAGACCCGGGAGAGGGGCCTGGAGGCCGAGTCGGAAGGGTTCACGCGTTCTCAGCAGGGTGGTCCCAGGAAGTCTTGCTGAGAGGATGATATCTGGGCAAAGACTCAAGGCACGAGGGAGTGCGGCACGAGGGAGTGCGGCACGAGGGAGTGCGGCACGAGGGAGTGCGGCACGAGGGAGTGCGGCACGAGGTCACCTGTGGGGACCTTCCCAGGCACGGGGTGTGACCAGAGCAAAGAGCCCGCACGGGGGCCAGCCTGGCCTTCGGAGGAGCAGCAGGGAGGCCATGTGGCGGGAGGGCTTTGCATTCTGCATCACTGAGACAGCAGTGGGCACCCAGAAACGTGCTGTGATGTTTCCAGCCTGCTGGCACCAAGGCCAGGGGCAGCCAAGAACAACATCAGCTCCCTGCACGAGCCAGTGGGAAGGCTCCAGCACCAGGTTCTGGCTGACCTGGGTCTACCGAGCCACCTTCATCTACCAAACACTCGGCTTTACTGGAGACCCCCACGCAGCAAGTGACACACAGGTTGGCACCCCAGGTCCTCCTTATTAGCTGTGACAGCCACACCAGGCAGCCCCCCATAACGTCCCCCATGTAGGAAGGACCCTCCTGATCTTCACCTGGCAGGTGTGGCAACTCCTGATTTTCGCCTGGCAGGTGCAGCCACTGTGCGTGCTCCCCATACAAGGGCTCAGGGAAGGCCACAGCCGTGCCGTCAGGCTGCACATGGGCGAGGAGACTGGCACTCTGCCAGCTCCACCTGCCTGCTCCCTAAGGGGATGGCTTGCTTATTCTGCCACCTTTTTAAATTCCAGAATATGCCACTGAATTCTCTTCAAGAGCTTCGACGATGCTGGTAACACTCAGAACCCTGTATGATTTTGGACCAATTGGTTTTTCTGTAATTTAAATAAGATTCTGCCTTTCTTGAGATGAAGGCGATAAATAATGAGTGGACCTGAGTTAGCCCACGGGCTGTAGTTTGCCAACCACTGCCTCGGGTGAAAACCTGGACACGCACAGCTAGTCACACGCCCGTCTCTCTGAAGCCACCCAGGCATGCGTGACCATCTCTGTGTGCCGATGTCCCCTGCTCATCTGCTCGTATAGTAAGAAGCCGGCCCACCCAATGTTATAGATGCAGTTGGAACCCTGGGTACCTGTTCACGAGCATGTGACAATGTGATTTCCCCTAAGACACCAAACCTCCCAGAGCTAAAACTCTCTGCGCACCTACAGAGCCCGTCCCGTCAATGATGGCCGTCACGGTGGAGAGGGCGTGCGCGTTGCCTTTCAGACTTTTATGAGTCCCCTAGAAGAGAGGAAAAACAGACGTGCAGTTATCGCCACAGCATGAGAAGTAAACCTAAGCCTCTGTATGACCATTTACTCAAACTGCTCTGCAAAACAACTCATCGTGAGGGTGTTTCCCATTATTTAAACTCCACCCCAAGCTTGCCTTGGAGAGTTAAAACTTCAAGGGTTTTTAAGAGTCAAAAGTCATCAGAAATGCTTGGTTCTAGTTACAAGAACTCTTAGGATTCTCTTCAAATAAAAAACGTTTGTTCCGCACAGTCCTGCTCCTCCCTGAGGCCCCAGAGCAGCCAGCGTGAGAGGCGTGAAGGTGCGCAACGCGCGCCCCTGCCCTGAGCTGCGCCGGCCTTCCTTCCCAGACACATCCACGTGTCTGCTGGATTCCTCGACAGCCAGGGCCTTCCTGGGACCCCTGTCAGATGTCTCTGCAGGACCTAAAATTCAACCTGATCAATAGCAAACGCCAGGGGAAGAAGGGAGGAGGGGAGAGCTGAGAAACCAAGGCTGGCGCAGGTCCTCGGTGAGCAGCCGCCAGGAGCTCTGGTTTTGAAAATGTTGCATAGACAATGGGAAAAAAGCCAAAATGAGGACAATAGGAGGGGAAAAAGATCAGGGGAAACAGTGCCTAGAAGCCTAAAACTATAAAAATGAACCAGCGTTCAAAAAAATAAATGCTTGTATATGCACGTAATATGTATATAAAATAAAGAACACACAATATGAAAATCATCCAGAACCTACGTATTTTGAAGTCTAAAAAATAAGTGAAAGTCTCTCCTCTGCCTCTACCCCGTGAAGGCTGACCATTGCTAATGGTCTGATGTGGATCCTTCCAGAATTTTCCATGCCCATGTAGACACAAGTCTGCATGCTCACGCACACTCAGGCAGTTTCAGGACACGTCCAATACAAAGGTGACCAAGGCAGGGCATGGTACCTGGATGAGAAGGGCCGAATCCCCCAGCGCCTCTTCGTGGCCCCTCTCTCTCTGCAGAGGCGTCCAGGACAGGACCTCTCCCCTGCCCCCTTGGATTGAAAAGGCGCCTGAGTCATGAGGATGGCGCCCAAGAGCCTTTTGTTGTGCTGAACGGTGAGTTTTGCACCAACCTGCCCATGATTTTAGGAGAAGGGTGAGCAGCGGGGCAGGTGCGGGAAGGCTGGAGACCACAGGTGTAGGTGAGCTGCCAAAAACGTGCTTCTGCAAATGCAGTTTTACTAACAGTAATGGAGGCCACTTTTGTCATGAATGGCACATGGCAGGGTGCCCACAGGGCTGGTGTCTCTCCCGGTTCTACTCACCAGGTCGGCGGAGACGGCGGTGGTGATGAGTGTGTAGGGCCCACTGACCAGGGCTCCGCTGAGCAGCAGCATGGCTGTGGGAGGCAGAGGGGCAAAGAATGGAAATGTGCCCTCCAGAGAGCCCCGCATGCATAGGAGCAGCCTGAGGTGGGCGCCTGGGGAGCACAGGGAGGGGATGCAGCAGAAACAGCTTCCTCTAAACTTGTCTAGTGAGGAGCTAAAGCAAATCATACCCTCCCTAAGACTCAGGCTCATCCACCCTCGAAGGGCAGCAGCTGCCACCATGAGGGAGCGATCACAGGCCGGACCCTGGGCCTGGGCTGACCCCTGCTTCATCTGCAGCAGAAAGGCCTTCCTCTCCTCACCCACAGCTGCTGTGGTGCTCGCTGAGGGCAGACCCCCACCCTCTCTCCGGACCAGGTCATTTCCTAAACTCTCCTCTAGGCTCACACTCAGGTGAGGAAGCTTCTGGCCTGAGGGGGGGTCACAGGAAATTCCGCTTCCTCTCCTGTGGGCAAGCTGCCTTCTGGATAACATTTAAGGGGACCACACATCCCCACTGCTGGCTCATTAGGACAGAAAGCATACTTCTAAGTGCTGGAGGCATAGTTTGATAGCGCTGCCTGCAGGGTGTTCAAAATAGTCCTCCAAGGTTACGCAACCGCTCCTGGAGGGGCAGCTGACAAAGCTGGGAGGAGGTGGCTGGGGGGCCACCTGCCCTGGCTCCTGGCCGGACCCTGTTCAGGTCACACCGCCAGGTTCCTGGCTACCTGACGTGGCCCAAGAGCCAGCCTGAGCTGCTCTCACCACCAGGGGTGCAGGGTGCAGGTGGCAGGTCGCAGGCTGCTGCAGCCCCGCCAGCCCCACCAAGGCCCCAGGAGGGGCTGCCCTCAAGGTCACATCTGGCTTCTCCACTGAGTGCCCAGGGCCACTGCCCCAGACCAGGCTTGCACACTTCCAGCTCACAGTGAAACCCACAGAATGGCAAGCCTCGCACTGGGGAGAGGAGACCCCGGCCTCTCCAGATGGTCTTGCCCAAAGGAGGACACGGACAATTTTAGCCACACCATGTGCTCCAGTTAAACCAGCTCAATGCGCCTGTTGATTTTAGTATTTCATCTTGCCAGCTGTGTGAACTTTAAAAACGTGTGTGGAAGAAAAGCAGGAAGGCCTCCATACTCACCGATGGTGGCCTCAAGCCCCATCTTGCTGACGGTGGAGAAGATGTAGAGCTGTGGACATCAAGACACAAGGTCAAAGCCATGGCTGGCTGCAAGCAGTGCGAGATTGCTGGAAATCTACTTCTCAAAAACCCGGCGGGTGATTCTCAGGCAGCCATCCCAAGAGTGGAAACCCCTAAAAAAGCGTGACGGCCACGCCCCCTCCCGTCTCAGGTACTGAGCCTTGTCCCCACCACGAGGGCTTTGGACCAAGCACCCCAGGCGACCTGGGGAAGTCTGCAGGGTGCTCCCACCTTACACCCCCAGCCAAGGGCAGCCTTCCTGAGCTCCTACCCAGCCAAGGGGCTGCCTTCTTGAGCTCCTGATTTGCGAGTCTGACTGCCAAGTCCTCAGGCTGCCCACCCCCCAGTGGCAGCAAGGGGCCCACCCAAGCATTTCTTCACTCAGCATTCTTTCATGTTCTGTGTTGGGCCATGTCCAGAACCCCAAGATGGCTGAAAGCCAGGCCTTGTTCTGGGGCTAGCGGAGGGGCAGACGCGCAGAGCTACAGCGTCCACTGACAAGCCTGTTACCTCTAATGTTACGATGATAAAAACAGTAACCATGTGCATTGTTTCTAACCCACTGCAAGGTGGTGATACTGACGTCCCATTTTCCAGATGAGGGAACTGGGGCATAGAGGGGGGTGTCACAGCCCAAGGTCAGGAGCTACGAAATGCCTGAAAAGCACTATGCACCATGCATCATGACGGGAGGTGTCAACGATGCCTAAGAGGTTGGGGAGGTGTTGCGGATCCCAAAGGATGGGCAGGAGCTTGTCTGGGGCAAGGGGGCACCCCAAAGAGAGGAGCAGCTTGCGCGCGGCCCATGCTAAACCAGCAGCAGCTGTGCACGTGGCAGAGGGAGCCTGGTGGAGGCCTGCAGGTGCCAAGGGAGGGGTCGGGGGACAGGAGGCATGAGAGGGAATGAAGCGGGCTTGTCAGGAAAGTGGAGCACGGGCCAGATGGAAGGATGCTGGCTGGCGAGGAGGACAGTGGGGGACTGTCTGCAGGCTTTGGGGCCCAGGGAAGGCAGCACGGCTGACCGTGGGGGCCGCGAGCAGCAGCATCAGGCCGCAGGTGGAGGCCCTTTTCTCCAGTCGGTCTGAGATCACACCTGCCAGGATCCCACCTGCAACGGAGAGGCGGGCTTCAGGCACTGACGTCCCAGGGCATGAGCCCACGGGGAGGAAGCAGAACTGCAGGAGCTCGGAGAACGGCCTCCTCCTTTCCCAAGCCCCTCTCTCCATGCATCACGGGCAGGCAGCCTTCTCACAGCCCTGACCTCCCCACAGGCCTCCATTGGTTGTGGTCAGATGTGAGAGTCTTGGAGACATCTGCAGGTTCAGGTTTTAGGCCAGCCTCGAAGCCCCTTTACCTATCAAGGTACTAAGGTGGCCAGTCTGTCACCTGCCCAGGAGACATGCTGCTGCTTTTTTTGTTTTAGTTTTGAGATGGGGTCTCACTCTGTCACCCAGGCTGGAGCACAATGGCATGATCATGGCTCACTGCAGCCTCAACCTCCCAGACTCAAGCCATTCTCCCATCCTAGCCTCCCAAGGCTGGAACCACAGGCTCGAGCCACCACACCCAGCTATGCTTTTTTTTTTTTTTTTGTAGAGAGGGGTCTTGTTATGTTGCCTGGGTTGGTCTTCATAACAAGAAGACCTCAAGCGATCCTCCCAACTCAGCATCCCACAGTGCTGGATAACAGGCATGAGCCCCTGAGTCCAGCTGGCATGCTATTTCTGAGGGAAGCTGTTCAAGTGCAGAGTCAGGGCCCTGGGGAGGGACGGGAGACAATAAAACCACCCCCAGGTGACGGCCTGACCCTCTTGGGCTGGGCCCACTCAGGGGATATGAGACCTTGGGGAACCCTGTTCCCCTGAGCAGTGAATCAACTCAGAGATCATGCGCCTTGCGAAATTATTGTTGCAGCAGAACAAGTCTTAATGAACTCACCAAAGATTCCGCCCACGTCAAACAGGGTGGAGAGCTCCCCCGCCTTTTTGGCATCAAGGTGATCTATTGAAATGACAACGGAGTGTGAAACAGTGAGGATCTCCTTCACGCATCGCAGCGACACACCATGGCAGAACAGGACCCGTGCACGGGACTCTGGCTTCATAAGCTTGATTTATACCGAGGAGCAATTAGTAGTTAACTCAGATTTAAAAAACAAGTAACACAGAAAGGATGAAAACACTCTTAACCAAAAACCGTGGCTTTCCTCTGCTCAGTCTAATTATCCCACCTTTGGTTCAGAGACCCCCCCAGGGGCCCCTCCGCCATAAAGTTAGATTAACACAGGACAGAAGTGGAGGTGTGGAAGGCGCCTGGATGCTCGATCATCCTGTCACACGGCTTTAGAACTGCAGATGAGGACACAGAGGCCTCCCGGCACCAGCTCAGGGTGCCCTCCATGAGGTTTTGTACAGGTTCTGGGCTTTAAGGTGGACTGAGCCAGCCGGGTGTGGGAGAGGAAACTGCACGGCATCTGGGGCTGTGGGTCAAACCCAGCCGTTCCGAATCATCAATGGCATGGACAGAAAATTTTGCTTTTTTCAAACAGACTGGAAATGTCAGCAGTTCAAGACTCAAGTCCTGAGAACGTCACCCCTTTTGCAACCACAGGGGAAGAAGGGAGAAAGAAGGCCCAGCTGTGTGCAGCTCACTGGCCAAAGTGAGGCGGGGGTCACAAGGCAGGGAAGGAACCTCAGGATCCAAGGGTGCTCCTTGCTGCCTCCCCAGTCACTGGCCCTTGGGGCAGGCCCTGTCCCTGCTAGGCTGTGGGACAGTCCCCAGACCGCCTCCTCAACTTCCCTCCCAGGGTATTCAGTCTCCAGCCTCGTGCTGCCAGCATCCTCCTCTGGTGGGATCTGCATCCCCAGAATAGGTGGTCTGTGCTCCTCAGCCTCCCCCATTCTCAAAGGCCTCCTCTTTGAGACATTGCCGGATTCTGCCCCTCCCTGACGGCCCAGCGTGTGTCTTCTCCTTCCTCTCGCTCTCTCTGGCTCCCGGGGCGAAGAGCCCTCCACGTGCTCCTGGACCATCCCCGCTTCCTCTCAGCCAGGGTTCCAATTTCCCCACTCAACGGCTCCTTCCCTTAAGCACTGTTCATCTCCTCTTGTCTGTCCTGTGTTCACACATGACATGGGGGGGGCATGTTACTATTTCACTGGCACGTTTTCTGATAATCTATAGCTGCAGCCACTGCGGGGCTTCTGAAACATAAAGCAAACTGTCGGCCCTGCCAAAAATGAGACGCTATCTCCCAGAAGCCATTTCCAGGTCAGAGTATCAGAGATTTCTTTTCTCAGGTCCCCAAAGGCTCTGCTTCTGCTCACTGGCTGCTATGATCCAAAGTTCAGTGTAGCCCACGTTTAAACGCAGGCTGCCCCAGAACAGGAAGTACCTCATGAACTGGTAGCCCTAGCTGGGATAGAACGTGTCAACCGTGAAGCCCCATAAAGTTTACCATTATGGCAATACAATGTGCATATCTGAATTCTTTTAGCCTATGTTTCATCATAGTACTTTATTCAAAGGTGTACCTCTCAAATCACCCTTCATGACCTTGTGTTTTCAATACTCTAGAAACCAGCAGACAGAAGAGACTTCGGACCCCAGTCACTGTGCGGAATTTAATGTGTTCTAGCGTGGATACTCACCCACATTCGTGATGTACAGGGGCAGCCAGAAGAGGAAAGTATAGCTGACCAGCTTGGCAAACAGCAGACACAGTGAGAACTCTATCACGCCCTGAAAGAGAGAGCAGTCAGGCGTCTCCTCCAAATGTGGAGTCAGCAGGTGTGTGTAAACATGCAACAGAGTTAAATATGACTTCGCTCCCATAAAGACATCCTGTCTCTGGTCTGGCTTTAGCACCTCCAGACACGTACTGGGGAGGGTGCTGCACCGCTGTGTGGTGTAGTGAGGACGCGGGAACAGTGGAGCGCTCACCCCGAGCAGGGGCACCAGGGAGGGGCGGGGCCTCTGAGAAGGGTGGGGCCCCAGCTGCAGCTCCTCGGCCACTGTCACATGGGGTGCAGGCCCAGCGTGGCCAGATTTTCTACTTTTCAAGTGAAGACAGGAAGCCCTGTTTATCTACGGCGTTTCTGAATTTCGAAATGGAGTTCAGGATCAAAACCCAGTGTCTTTACATCAGAGTCGAGTCAATGCAAACATGGACGGGTTTGATTTTCATACTACATCGCCTGGAAAACTTAGCTATTAAAAGAGTTCTCGTATAGCCGGGTGCAGTGGACTGAGTATCGAATGGCTCCTTCTTCTTCCCTGGAACTGAAATCATTGTACATTATCAAGCCACCTGGAAACACACAGATGAAACAATTCCGACCATTGTGTCAGCACACAGGCGTACAGGCTACCGCATCCCGCCTTGTGAGTACTACAGACCAGTCCGTATCAGGGAAAACAGTGAAAAGAGACACGTAGGTATGAGTGAGGAAATCGAGTGGTGGGTTCTGTAAAATGCCTGTTTGTGTTTGTTTTATGTCTACTTTTAGAAAGAGGTGGCACTTGTGAGATAAAAATTCCAGATGCCATCTGAAAATTCAGAGTGAGAAATCCAGTAACATTGTGGCACTGAATCCCCCAGCCGTCTGTGCACTGGAAATCAATCAGAATGGGGGCCGGGGGAACCCAGCGCTCTACTTTGCCAAGTCATTCTAAAATGAAACGAGTTGATGTCTTCACAGTTGATGAGGATGTGTACGTGTAATTTACCGTATGCCTTTCATGGGCCTGGCATTGTGCTTAGTTGTCATTAAATGACCTCACTTCATCCTCAGAACAACATATGGTATTACCCCAGGGATGGAACCCGTGTGACAGATGAGGACATGGAGGCTCAGAGTGTGCCACACTTGCCTGAACACTCAGCCTGGCGGTGGCAGGGGGAGGCTTGAGCGGGACCTCTGAAGCCCATACTGTCTATACCTCCACTATATAAAAACCTGTATTTTTATGCTAGTGTGCACCCTACTTTTGGTACAAGTATTTGGGGGTAGCTACAGAGGAAGGTACAGCAGAAAAGGTCACTAGCATTAAGGACACAATTAAAAACAAATCTTTTTACTTAAACCCAGCAGCTTCCACAGGCCAGCATGCACAGCCCTTTCCCCATAAGCTGGTGCCCACCCTGGGCTGGGACGTTCTCCTCTGGCTGAACACTGGCTCCAGGGTCCACCTCTGCAGACCCAGTTTCTCCTGGGCACTGGAATACTTTCTGTTCTGAAGCCAAGGTTCTCCCCAGTCTTTAATTTCTGTGATATGATTTTGAGGTCTGGGTTGCATTGTTTATACTTCCAGCCCTGACCTGCTGAGGGGCCTCGGGCCTGTGCCCCTGGCCCTCTGCCTTTCTCTAGGTTGTGTCAACAAGCGAGAGCTGTGTCTGCTCCCTGGTGCTGTGGCTGTCAGTGCTGGAGAGCACGGCCTGGACAGCCCCGCCAAACAGCCCACCCTGGACAGCGCCCCCTGGACAGCCCACCCTGGACAGCCTGCCCAGCCCACACAGCAGGGTCTGGTCTCCCTCCCACGCCCCTGCTCTCAGCCCTCTGCCCCCATCGGAAGAACACAGTGTCTCCACACCCTGTGCACAGCTCCTTAGATTCTCTGCTGAGAGAGTCCATCAATGTAATAAAAACTGAAAGCAGCAAGAAATCTCCCTACAGTGCCCCTCCCGCTCATCTGCTCCAAGTCACCTTGTTCCCGATACTGATCACCCGCTGATCACGCCCTTCTAGTCTGGAGGCAAGGCCAGCAGCACCACCGAGGACCAGCCCGGTCCAGCTTCTGAGGGCTTCTCCCGCCTGTGCTACTCGTTCTTCCCTTGGTCCCTGCATCCTCCCCCTCACTCTTGGCATCCTCTGCTCACACACACGGGCAATCAGACCACGGGCTGTGGCACTGAAGGCACTTTTTGGGTTTTTTTTTTTTTTTGAGACAGAGTCTTGCTCTGTCACCCAGGCTGGAGTGCAGTGGCACAATCTTGGCTCACTGCAACTTCTGCCTCCCGGGTTCAAGCGATTCTCCCGCCTCAGCCTCCTGAGTAGCTAGGACTACAGGCGCCTGCCACCACGCCCAGCTAATTTTTGTATTTTTAGTAAAGACCGGTTTTTGCCATGTTGGCCAGGCTGGTTTTGAACTCCTGACCTCAGGTGATCTGCCTGCCTCGGCCTCCCAAAGTGCTGGGATTATAGGCGTGAGCCACTGCGCCCAGCCTAAAGGCACTTTAAAGGGAAAGAGAATCCAGCCGGGCTCGCGAAGGCCACGGCGCAGCACTCAGTGCCAGCGCCTCCCATGGGCTCACGCTCAAGGCCTGTGGGAGGGCAAGTGCACTGGGGAGGGGCCGGGCCACAGGGGCCAGGTGGCACAGTAGTCAGGGCCTCAGTTCCCCAACCTGTCACATGGGGGCAGGCCCAGGGTGCCAGGCTTTCCGTTTTTCCAGTGAAGGCAGGGAGCCCCATTTTTCTATGAACCTGAATTTCTAAATGGAGAAAACGAATTTCAAAAAAAATTTAAACATGGTATGAGGCGAACAAATATCACTGCAGCCATATTCAGTCCTGAAGCTAGCACTGTGCAGCGTCTAGCTTTGGCTATGGATTCGAATCCCCGGGTTCTACAACCACAGATGTCTTTTTAAGCTTAATCATCAACCGACCAGACTTCCCACAGCCAGCACAGCAGCCCTTTCTGAAACTCCTCCTGGGCACGTTTACTTACTGGAATTTTCAAGGCCCCTGTGAAGCTGATGGCGGCCGTGCCACTCCCACCGTCCCCGGGGAGAATGACGACGTGGTTCGGGTGGATGGAGCCCTTCCCATCTGAGAGCAGCAGGCACTGCATCTCTGGGTCCTGGAGGCAAATCCATTGGGAACAAAAAGGAAAGGTGTTACCAGCCGGGCAGTCTGGGTGAAGTGGGGCCAGGCTTCCTAATGACGAGGGTGCCTGGCGGCTCTCTCTTCCACTGCCTTGGAGACATCCTGGGTGACATTCCCACCTGGCCACTGTGTTAGAATGATTAGCATTCATGCATTTTCATGAACGGCTAGGTACACAGATCCTCTGATCCAGAAATTCTAGGAATCTATTGGCAAAAAATAATTTGAAAAGTAAAAAGATACTTATAAAGTAAAATGGATGTCACATCATCATTGAGAAAAAATAGAAAATTCAAATACATCCATACGAATGACATCTTGTAAAAAAAAGGTTGGGAGATTTTAATGACGGAAAATGCTTATGACACATTAAATAACACATCATTCAAAACTGCATGTCATTATAACCTCAAAGAATGTTTAAATATCTACGTATGTAACTAGGCAACTATAGGATCTATTTCTAGAAAGAAAGAAGCTAAAATCTAAGCCAACAATGGTTGTCAGCGAGTGGTGGAATTATGTGTAATTTTTATCGAAATGCTAATAAGAAATTCTTTACATGATCCTGCATTTTTTAGGAGTTCACAATGGCCATATATGACCAGAAATAACATTATTTTAAAATACACCAACATTATTTTAAAATACACCTATTCTGATATTTATGAATTCTGATTGTCTAGACGTTCCTAAAGGACAAAGTGTACATTCATTAAAGCAAAGAAGAGTGATTCCCCAACCTAGAGTGGGATTTCAAGTCAGAGCAAGGATAACATAAAAATAATCTTAGCCTGGGCCACACAGTAAGACCTAAAAAAAAATAGTGGAATGTGGTGGTATGCGCTTGTAGTCCTAGCTGCTCTGGAGGCTGAGGCAGGAGGATCACCTGAGCCCAGGAGGTGGAGGCTGCAGTGAGCTGTGATTGTGCGGCTGTCCTTCAGCCCGGGCAAGACCCTGTCTCAAAAAAGAATGAAAATAAAATAAAAATATTCTTCATGAGTGAGCTATGAGGTTCAAGGTCTTACAAAGAAATGCTTCTAGGTATCTCAGACCTTTCACAAAATCAAACAGGCTTTGTGGTACTTATCTCACTATAACCTGTTATAAGTTGGACTAAAAATGTAGTTTAATTAAAAAAAAAAAAGAAAATGGTAATGTATTCCACATTCCCCTGCCCCTTGATATTTAGAATATTTAGAATTCTCTTCCAGTGGAAAACAGACATTTGGAAACCGGGTGGCAGGTGGCACCGAGTGCAGCCCAGTGTGGGCACCCAGTGGGTGGCCTTGGGGGCAGCCCAGCGTCTACGTGCCCCAGGAAGCCCGGCTTCACAGCTAGGACTCTGGCATGGAGAGCGGGTCTCTGATGAAGATATTCACATGTGGCCACATAGTCAGGTGCTCTGGAATGAAGATGACAAGGCTGAGTGCAGATGCCTAACATGCTCCCGATGATAATCCCATCACGGCACGTGAAAGCAAAGAATGGCGACTTGAGTTTCTGAATAAACTTTTCTCTCATGAATTCTGCTAATCGTCCAGTTTAGAAAACTACATCAGTAATGCTCTACTGTGGCTAAGCACTGGAATCTCCTCGGGGGGCTTTGAGAAGCCTCGAATTCCCCCAGCCCCACGGAAGCAGTCCCTGGGGCAGCCCCAGGCGAGTTCCACTCATAGCAAGCTGAGGGCTACAGGACTTCACAGGCCGTTCCGCAGGAAACAGGCTCAGCAGTGGGTGAAATGCAGCCAGCTGGAGAAAAGTCAAGCGGAACGAGGCCGCTTAGCCAGGAGAAGCGCACCCTCTGACCCGCAGAGAAGTGACCGCAGGTCAACACAGAAGACCTACTTGGCCTCAGGTAGGACCCAGATGCCCAAAGGCCGCCCACGGCCCTTGCAGGATTTGTAAAGTGCTTCAGGGTCCACTTGCTGGGCTGGTTTAAAGCCACAGACACAGACCCTCTGCTCCTTATCTAAGCAGCAAGGAGCCCCCGAGACAGACAGAAGGCTCTGTTTCTGCTGAGAACGGGCCCTGTGCTCACAGCCACTCATCTTAAACAGGACTTGTAGCCACCATACCTGAGTTGTTTGCTCCTGGAGGAGATGGGAAAGAGTGTGGGGCCATGGCTGGTTTTCCAAAACAAACAGGGGGCTGCTGCTGCCTCCTCCTTACATAGCAAACAAGAAGCCACTGGGTGGACCAAGACAAGGCTGGAGGCCAAGAGGCACCTCTGCCTCTAAACAAGCAGTTTCCAGTCTGTGTCCCAAGAGCCCCAAATGGGATCTGTGGAGCCCCCGGTGGGTGTGGGGGCTTCTGTGGCCAGTGCACTCCACGCTTAGGGCTTACACTTTCAAAGAGAAAAGGGTTCCCTCTACTAAAATGCCCCCACACACAACAAAAATACACACAGACGCATGTGGGGGGACTGCGTAATAACGATCGCTTTATCTAAAAATGCTAAGCTCACCCCGCTACCCGATGCTGTCTGCAGCTTCCCTTTGGGAAAGGCCATCACAAGAGAGATTTGTGGAGTCCCCACTTGGCGTGCAAAGTGCACGGTGGAGTCACATTCAACCTCCAAATACCCACTCCGTGCTCACGCCGCGTTTGGTGGGCCCAACAGTTCTTGAGCCACAGCCAATCAGAAGGATCCTCAGAGACGTCAAGGAGGAAAAGTGACAAGTGACTACAGGGATGGCAAGTGCGACCGTCCCCAAGACAATCCTCTAAAACGCCCGCGGGGACCTGCGGGCTCGCCACGTGGCCAAGTGACAGCAGCGCCTCATTCTCTTTCCCACATTTGCTCCCCGCCCCCCAGCTTTCTTTACATGTCTCTTCAAGAGGCCACTGAGAAACTGCCTGCTACGTGACATAGTGTAGCAGCTCTGTCTGAAAAGGAGTGGAGGTCAGGGGCTGGGTGACACCCCACTGAGCCCAGCGGTCACTCTGGGAAAGGGGACATCCAGGGTGTCCAGCCAACCTCATGGGGACTCTCCCCGCCTACCCTGACCCAAGAGCAATGGCAGGCCCGCCGAAAGGGGATGCCACGTAAGCGAGGTCAGCATGCGCCCGGTTGTGGTCGTCACCCTCAGCCTGAAATAAGGCCTGCCAGTGCCTTTACTTACATAACTGGCTCCTTGATGGCAAGTCTGTAAACAGCCTTTCTTAGAGGGCCGGAAAAGGAAAGAGAGAAACTATACTTAGAAGCCAAGGCTAGTTCTATGGGTCAGTTACTACACCAGAAGAAAGGGCCTGTGGTCTTGATTCAGAAGAAGTGGCAGGCTTCAGTATCATCAGAGAGGGGTGACAGCCTTTTGGACACTGGGACATGATTTGTTTAAATGTGAATTCAGAAGTAAGTACAGATTTTAAAGCATTTTGGTTGAATTAGTCACTGCCTACTGTCTCCCTAAAATCCAAGAACCCAGATGCACGAGACATCATTCTTCCCTTTTCTAATATTTCAGCCACTACAAATAAATTTCTGCAGTCAATAAAAAAGTGAGATGCATGTTTAGTACATTAATCCTTTAAGCTATTTAATTTAAAAAGATAGGGAGAGCAGCCCCTTACACATGCTGGAGGGGTCTTTCTGACAGAGGAGAGGCCCTGTGTCTGCTGTAGAAGGTTAAACCTTATTTAGAGGCCGGGTGCGGTGGCTGAAGCCTGTAATTCCAGCACTTTGGGAGGCTAAGGCGGGTGGGTCACCTGAGGTCAGGAGTTCAAGACTAGCCTGGCCAACATGGTGAAACCCCATCTCTACTAAAAAAATACAAAATTCAGCCAGGTGTGGTGGTGGGTGCCTGTAATCCCAGCTAATAGGGAGGCTGAGGCAGGAGAATCACTTGAACCCAGGAGGCGGAGGTTGCAGTGAGCCGAGATCATGCCACTGCACTCCAGACTGGGCGACAGAGTAAGATCTTGTCTCAAAAAAAAAAAAAAAAAAAAACAACCAACCAACCAAACAAACAAAAACCTGATCTAGAAAGAGAACAGCTTATAACTTCAATGATTAAACTCAAATTTAAAATGCCCGCTGCAGCTTGGTGTGGTCAGCTAAGCAGCAGCAATGTGAGGAGCCTCTACAAGGATCAATGATGGGAAGGGTAGGGCACAGGAGGCTCAGGTGCTAGGGGTGGGCCAGACCTGCACTGAGGCCTCCCTGCTACCGCGGATGACAAGGCAGATTAACTTAGCATTTCTGTGTCCGGAATTCCTCATCTGTGACATAGGGGAGGTGGAGATGCCTCCTTCTGTTACCTGCTTCTCCCTTTTCTTGGTCCCATGATGTCAGTTTTCTGTGTGCACCTCACGTGGCCAGCCCACCGTGCGCCCCTCACCCTGACACCCTCTGTGCTCAGGCACCTGCAGACTCTCCCTCCAGTCCCTCACAGCTCTGTTTCAACACTGCCTGCCTAGGGAAGCCTCCCAAGGCCAGCTGAAAATAGAGCCTGCTCAGCCTGTCTTCCTGCCGCTTGGCACCGCTTGGGGGATGTCTCTGCCTGCGTTCCGTCTACACCAGCACCGCCCCCAACACCTGGAATAGTGCCTGGGACATTGAAAGGTGCGGAGCTGCTGAATGAATGAACTGGTTAAGTGTAAAATCCAAAGAAAGCCAATAAGGGCAAACTCAAATTTTACTGAAGAAATACAATGAGACAGAATTTTTTTAAGACCTGGATGTTTGTGACACATGTCACATAGGCAGAGGGACAGAGAGCCGACGTGGCTCAAAGGAGTTTTCCTGCAGCTCCGACATTCTAGGAAGTGGAAGTTGTGTGTGACTTACCAGAGGCTTGTTCTTTTCGCTCTTCAAGATTTGCTTCTGGAGTCTCAATCTGTTTGTACCATTCTCATAGCCTTTTGAGTGCTGGTAAAAAAAAAAGTTTCATTAGAGCGATACTGATTCAACAGCTAGAAATTAAACCTGGCTTTACTGTAGCAAGGATACTTACTATCGTCCCAAAAAAGCTACCAAGAGGACATAAGACAACTGATTTAAACAGAATAATGGTTGATCTCAACACTCCAGACTCTCAGATAATAGAATGTGAGCATAAAATCCTCTCTTGAAGAAAGAGCTAAGACAGAGGTGTAATCAAATGTAAAAATACCCATTAAGCCAACTTAACTTTTCTGAATGGCCGTGAGATTGTTTCAATGGTTTTGAAATGAAAAGGCACAGACCAATCTTTCCCTTTAACATGTGAGGAACACCTGCCCTCCCTAGGTCAGCCGAATGCTTCTGAAGGAAAAAAAAAAAACCGTCTCTAGGGAAGGAGAGTGTGGCTTGCTCAACAGCCCCAGAATGTGGACCTGCTGCTAGAGGGCAGGGAGGTGGAAGGACTGCACTGATGCACTCCAAAACTCAAAATCATTTCAAAATTATCTCCTGTTACCAAGTGAAAAGTGAAGAAATGAAGGCAGTTTCTTGGGCACTAGAATAAAGGTACCATTTCCTAATCATTATTTCTACAGGGCTCTATGTAGAACCCCTTTTGAAGATAATTAATGGTATAAAAATAATTGTTGAAATTCTCCAGTGGTAAAATGTTGTTGTTTGTTGATGAAATAGTCCAAACAAACTTCCTTTAAAATAAGGAATCAGTCTGTACTTAGAAAGATGTTATTCACTCACTCTAGTATAAATGATAACAAAACAATTTCTAAGGCTTAGAGAGGCCCAGATGATTTAGATTTCTGGCACTAGTGCTGGATGCATTTGAGAAGAAAAACCACCAGGCTTGCACGCTAACTGTGAGATCTGCAAGTAGAGATCTATGGGGCCTCCAAAAGGCGGGAAACACGGGGAAGACAGAGCATGGGTTAAACTCCGTTCAGATGGACAGTTGGATCCCACCCTTTACATTTCGAGGCATTTCCCCTGAAAAGGTTTCTGAAGGTTAAGAAAAACTATTGATCTTATTACTTGAAAATGTAACAAAACACCTTTAAAAATACATTTGTTTTGTGCTCAGAGGGAGGGCAAAGCCTGCCAGGCTAGGGGTGATTATCTGGCCAGTTTATCATCCGACCATTCCAGGCAGAAGCAGAGATGGGTTCCTGCTCCCCAGCACTCGGCCCCCCGTCCCCCGCAGTGAGCAGAGGCTGCCAGCATCACCCGGGCCCTCTTCTTCCTGCTTTTCAGCCAGGAACGTGGGTGCTCAGGCAAAGCCTATCTTAAAATTCCTTTTCAGCTTGATGTGGTCAGCTAAGCAGAAATGATGTTAGGAAATGCTAGGAAGTCTCCTGAAAGGGAAGGGGCCTGTCCCTAATGTCCTTTCCCTCCTTCCTGCTGGCTGGAATACAGATGTAATGGCTGGAGCTCCAGCAGCCACTGACCAATCATTCATTCACTCATTCAACAAATAATTATTAAGCATCAACTCTGTGCCTGGCACTGTTCTAATTGGTTGGAATATATCACCTTTGGCATGAAGCCATGCACAGGGGAAGAACGAAAAGACAAGAGGAGTCTGTGTCCCTGACACTCAACACGCACACCCCACATCATCCTGGGCTGGCTCTCTCCAGATTTCTTGAATAGAAGAGAGAAATACCTTCCCATCTTGTTTTAGTAACTGCCTGTGGGCTTTTCTATTGCTTGCTGCTGAACACAACCCCAACTAATCTGAAGATATTAATAAAAACATTAATTTTGACACAACTGATACAGGGTTTTGGACCCAATGAGGTCCTAGATTAGGGCACAAAATAGATATCCTAAACCTAAGTAACCTAGGAATCAAATACAAATCAAAAGAACAAGTTCCCATGGCTCTTCAATAGCACAGGGCAGAAGCATAAAGAGACACATTCTTATTAGCACCCTCAGACTCAAGGCAAATGGTAAAGAATTGAATACTCTCTTTCATATTAATTGTGATTCATTTGAAACAAAAACTAATTAGAAAAATCAAATCTGGATCAGATGAAGGTTTCCAGTTTACAGGAGATACAGGGGATAGAGGAACACGTGAAACACACCCCAGGTACAAGGTCAGCAAAGCCTCAAATGTGGGAAACTTGGTAGAAAAAATGACCATTTTTTATTTTGACAAAAGCAATTCAAAGGAGAATAACACCAAACCAAAAAAACAAAACAAAACAAAACAAAACAAAACAAAAAAAACCATTGAGGTCCTATAAATTAGAAGAGCCTTAAGAGGCACATTAAATTAACCAATCAGAAGGAGTGGACCTTGCCTAGGCCTTGCTCAAACACAGTGCAAAATCATTTATAAGACAATCAGCAGATCTGACCATTGAGTAGCTGTATGATAATAGAAAGGATTATAGATTTTAAAAATTTGTAATAGCATTGTTGAGACAGAATTCACATACTGTACCATTCACTCATTTAATGTTCACAATTCAGTGGTTTTTAAATTCAGTTTTGCAACCATCACTACAATTTGAGAACATTTTCATCACCTCCAAAAAGAAACCTCATACCTGTCAGCAGTCATCCCCCCTTTCTTCCCACCCTAGTCCCTGACAACCACTCATCTTCTTTCTATCTCTAGGTTTGCCTATTCTGGACATTTCATATGAATGAAATCATACAATATGTGACCTTTTGTGACTGGTTTCTTCTGCTTCGCGTAATGTTTTTTGATGCTATTGTAAATGAAACGGCCTTAATTTCATCTTTGGATTGTTGACTGCTAGTGTATAGAAATACAATTGATTTTTGTATACTGGTCTTGTTTTCTGCAACCTTGCTAACTTATTAATTCACTCTAACCATTTTTTTGAGGACTCCTTATGATTTTCTGTATAAAAGATCATGTCATCTGCAAAGAGAAGTAGTCTTACTTCTTGTCTAATCTGCATGCCGTTTATATCCTTTTCTTGCCTAACTGGCCTGCCTGCATTACAATGGTAAATAGAAACGGCAAGAGCAGGCCTCCTAGTCTTGTTCCTGATCTCAGGCGGAAAGCACCTGGTCTTTCACCATTAAGCACACTGTGAGGTGTGGGTTTTATTAGATGCCCTTTGTCAGGTCAAGGAAGTTGCTTTCTATTCCTAGTTTGTTGAGTGTTTTCACATGAAAGGGTGCTGGATTTTGTCCAGTGCTTTGCCTGCTTCTACTGAGATGATCATGCAGCTTTTGTCCTTTATCCATTCAAATGGTGTATTACATTAACATTACCTGTTAAGCCAGCTGTGTATTCCTGGGATAAATCCCACTTGATCATGGTAAATAATCCTTTTGTAGGTGGCTGAATTCTGGTTGCTGCTATTGAGTTTTGCATCTACACTCATAAAAGATACTGTTGTACAGTTTTCTTAAGAGGTTTTAGTCTTTTGTTATTACGATAACACCTCATAGAATGAATTAGGAAGTTTCCCCCCACTTTTATTTTTTGGAAGAGTTTGTGAGTAATTAGTATTAGCTCTTCTTTCCATGTTTGGCAGAATTTACCAGTAAAGCCATCTGGTCCTGGGATTTTCTTTGAGTGAAGTTTTTAAATTAACAATTTAATTTCTTTACTTGTTTTAGATCTATTCAGATTTCCTCCTCTCTTGAGTCAGTTTTGGTAGTTTCTGTCCTTCTATGAATTTTTCCATTTATTCAAAGTTTTCTAATTGGTTGGCATATAGTTCCCTCATAATCCATTTTATTTCAGTAAATGTGGCAGAAATGCCACCTTTCCTGGTCCTGATTTTGGTAATTTGAGTCCTCCTTTATTCTTGGTCAGTCTAGGTGCAGGATGATCAATTTTGTTGATCTTTCCAAAGAACCAACTTTTGGTTTCATTGATTTTCTCTACTGTTTTTCTATTCTTTGCCATTGGTTTTTAAGTGTGATAATGGTATAGTACATTTTGTTTCACATAAAAGAGTCCTTATATTTTGGAAACATACTGAAGTAGTCAGAGACAAAATATTAAGATGATTGCTATTTGCTTGCAAAATACATCAGCAGGAGGTGGGAAGGGATAGTATTAGAAGGGGCGTTGATAGAGTCAGATTGGCCAACTGTTGGAAACTTGGGTAATGGGTACACAGGGGTTCGTTATGCTGTTATTTTTACCTTTTTATATGTTTAAAGTCTCCATAACAAGAACTTTAAAATATTGGAAAAAATTAGAATTTTATCCTAAAAATAACACTTCCACATGGGAACTTCCCAGAACAAGTCAGCACATCTGAAATCTCTTACAAATGCATTTTGCTTTGCCCAAAAGCTCCCATTTGTGATAAAGGGAAGATACTACAGAAGGACAGCAGCTGATGGGACATTGGCCAAACTGCCCTCAGCTCCCTCAGGAAGGCCCGTGACAAGGGTCTCGTTGGTGTCCTGCACAGAGCAGGTAACATTCCTGCAGGAAAAAGAACTTTGGGGCTGTTTGCAGAAGCTGATAAAATATCCCCAGATATCAGCCATCTCTCCCTCTGCGACCAGCCAACATGGAGAGGAGAGAGGACGAGAAGCTGTTTCTCTGGACCACCTGCCTCAGGGCACGTCGGGGACACCTGGGCACCAGTAGATCTCAGTGAACTGCTCGGAGAGGATTTGAACGGGGAGAATGAAACACAGGCTTCAGCCCCAAACTCATACACACGAGGAGCAGAAGCAATGCCTCTCGCCTAGATGAGCTCTCATATTCCTAAAAGCTGTGTGTGAGGAAGAGCTGCTCCTCCCCAAAACCCCCTGCACGCCTGCTTCCTATCCTCAGGCCTGGCCGCCCCTGGGTGAGAAAAGCTCTTCTTAGAGGACAGAAGGTGTTCCAGGGCGGAAGGTGTGTGCGAAGTTCTCCCCAGTCTCAAGACGGCTGGTCCGGGCAGCTTTAAGCTACTTCACGGCACGACTGTACAAGCTTGGAAACTGAAATTCATGCTCAGGGCAGGAACACGGCTTTTTAAAACATTTTAAAATATCAACCATAGTTTTAAGAACATCATATGGTGTTTGACCTTCCTGAAGGCACTGGTTTTCAAACTTCATTTTGTTTCTTTGTTTTTGTCATCAAGTATCAGAACCCTTCTTTCCATATGAATCACACCCAGGAGCCCGAGGTATGAAAAGACAGAAAAAGGACTCTGGCCCCCCTCCCGCACGAGGCCAGGTGCTGCCCCAGGTGCCGGGACCCAGTGATGATCCAGGCCCGAGGGGCTCGCACCCTTCTGTGAGGGTGACAGAGACCAACCAGATGGACTGGTGAGGATTTCACACGGGGCGACATGGAGCCACTGGACTGTGTTGTGCAAGGGCTGATGTGCTCTGGCGTCTGTATCAATACAGTCTCTGCAAGTGCGGTGTGAAGAAGAGATTCTGGGGAGCAAGAGTGGATCGTTCTAGGAGGCTGATGAGCAGTGGCTCGGAGGAGAGCTGACGGTGGTGACGGGGACCAGGGTGGTAGAGGCGGAGGAGGTGAGAGGGTTTCCATTCCACATCCCCTCACAGAACAGAGCAGAACTGACAGAACATGGCCAAGGATGGGGTGCGGGGCTGAAGGGAGGGGGTGTTGGGCTGGCTCCTCGGGTCTGGCCTGTCCACAGGGTGGACAGCAGCTTCCTGACTGAGATGGGGGATGCTGGGGGATCGGCTTGTGCAGGGGTAAAATCAAGAGATCTCCTCCAGTCGTGTTAAGTCTGAAGGACACTCAGACATCTCCGTGGGAAGGTTGAGTGGTGGTGAGACCTCAGATTGCGGAGCTCAGGGGTGGGTCACTCTGGGGACAGCATGGTGACTCGACATCAACGCACCTGGAGCCGCTGAAAGGCCCGAGCGCGCTCTCCTGCAGTGAGCGGGCAGACAAGGAGAGAGGAGGCCGCAGGGCAGCCTGGGGGCACCCCCACATCTGGGGTCTGACACTCGGCACAGACGTGACTAACATGTTAGCCCGGGTAGGGGAGCCTTTCCCAGAGGGAGGGAAGAGAGCTGACCCCCAGAGGGAGGGAAGCATTGGGTCAGACGCGGGCGACGGGCCCAGCAGGGTGAGGCCAGAGAGCTGACCACCCTATGTGTCCGGGTGACGTTGCTGGGATCTGATGGGCTGTTCCCGTGAGGTGGCGGTGGCCTGCAGACAGGAGGGGTGTCATGCCAGTGGACATGGGGAGCGGGGCGGCTGGGAGCAGGCATGAGGGCCAGAGGGACTTTCTTCCAAGACAGCCACCAATACTACATGAGTGTGCCAGGAATGGTATTTGGGGCGGGGGGTGTGTCTGCGGGAGTCAAGCCCTGGGCCATGAGAGGGAGGGGACCGGTACCGCGGGAGGGCTGGCCTTAGCCAGGTGGGAAAGTGGCCAGTGGTGACTGGCTGCGGGTGGAGGCAGCTAGGGCAGGGCTCATTCATGGCAGCCAACGTGGTCAGCAATCCTGCCTGCAGGGCCTACGCTGGCTGAGCTGGGCAGGGGTACAGAAGAGAAGGAATGGCGTGCTGGGCAGACCTCTCGGCCACCTGAGACGTGCAGCCACCAACTTAAGTGATGGCAGGCAGCTGACACGTGCGTTTTTCCCCGTCACACTGAGGCCCCTGGGGAAACCAGGAGGTCTCCACTCCTGAGGAGGCCTGGCCAGGGCCCAGCCTTTGGTTCCCCTTAGCATGAAGTCCTTCATCTGGACAGCATTGAACCTCTTGTCTGGGTTTTGCTGATAAGGTTATTATCAGCGAAACCCAAAACAGAATATTCTCTATTCCTAGAACTGCCAATGTTTTGAGGGTGGGACTTCTGTCTACCCTGTGTGTTTCTGTCTGACACCGCACAGGCAGGAGCAGGCTGGGGAAGTGGTCAGAACCGCACACTGTTCTAGAAAAGGACAAGAAAACAGGGTCCTTACCGTCACCAGGGTGGAGGAGCACCTGACGTCGTTCGGATCTGAAAGAGCAAACATGAGTGAGGCTGAGCAGGTCCACCACCATGGCAATGCCAAGTAAGCTACGTAACCCGAGGACAGGGCAACACGGGAGCACCGGGTGTGAAACTGGACTGTATGCAGGATTCACATTAAATGAGTGGATTTGAGCTGCTCTTGCCACAAAAACAAAAGCGGGCAGCTGTGAGTTGCGATGGCTATGTTAACTTGCTTCGCTTTACTAGTAACCTTTTTACTATCTCTATGTATCTGTAACACCATGTTGCATACCTTAAATATACACAATAAAATTTAATAAAACACAAGATGCCATCTTATACCTTTACTAAATTGGCATTCGTTTCAGAAAAAAGCCATCGCCATAGCATGCCAGGTGAGGGCAAGGGCACAGCTTGGCTGTCCCACCAGTGACTCCCGCACACGCCCCGGCCTGTCCCCAGTCACTCGGCCTGGCAGCCCACTTGTGTGCAAGGGGGGTATGGCAGATCACCGCCAGCCAGTGCCAACACTGTGAACGTGAACGCTACTTTAAATATGGAAAATACTTCCCAGCGTGGCCAATAATCACAAGCAGAGCATGCGGACGCTGTGTGGACAAGCCCACGACTCTCATTCAGAGGACAAGCCCCAGAAGAAAAGCAAAACCAGGAAAAGCACATCAGGGGAGCGAGGCTGGAAGAATGTCTGTAATGAGGTATTTCATGTTATGAAATTCATTAGAAATAAAAATGAGTGGAGATAAAACATCTATCTTGATATGGAACAAACATCTTTGTGTAAATGCAAGGAAGGGAGGAAACTTGAAAAGGAACAGAACCAGAAGTGAGGCTTCAGCGTGTCCTTTACAGACACCAGCAACCTGCCCCGAGCAATGCGGGAACCCAGAGTCAGACCCCAGGCCTCTAGGTGCTGCGGGAAACCAGCCCTACTGCTTCTCGCTCCACCTCTGCAGCCCCCTCTGACTACCAAGCACCTTGGTCTCTTTATCACCTTGGATGAAACTGGTTACTGCCTTGCAACCCAAACTGAGCTACAGGGCTGCAGGCTCCCCACAGCCAAGTCCATTCCCATACAACACAGGGTGACATCATAGAGGGACATGCAGCTGCCGAGCACACTCCTGCTGGCCTCGAGGCCAGCATCAAACCTCTTGTCTGGGTTTTGTTGATAAGGTTATTATCAACATGCCGTAGGGCCAGGTGGGTCTGCACCCAGAGGTCCGTGGCTGGCTGTGGGGTGCGTCGCCCTCCTGTCCTGGGCACAGCCCATAGGGCGAGGCCACTGACCAAGGACACATGGTCGGCATGTTGGGCAGTCCCAATGGTCCACCTGTGATGTATGGTCACCAATTTAAAGGACATCAGCCAACTCACCCCATCGGTATCCACTCACAGTGTGATGCCCCCAGGGGTAAGCCAGGGGCTTCCCCTGATATGGCTCTTCCTGGACTTTCACCTTCAGGGACTTGGGCACACACGTCCCTTGGCTGGGACACATTTGAGAACAGCTTCAGAAAGGAGACTCAGAGAGGCCTGAGAAAGGAGCAGGGGACGCCCTGTCCTTTGGGGCTCACCCTGGGCAGGAGACAAGAGTGAAGGAGCAGCAGAGAAAGCCACATCCTCTGTTGACCGCAAGAATGGCACATCTGATGCCTTTAGTACCTGCCCAGGATCAGTGATTCGGGACAAGGAGGGGCAGAAACAAACCAAGGGGCACTTGATGTTTCCTCCCTATCTGCAAAGAGCTCCTGTTCTCAGACTCAGCATCCAGCCACTGTTGTCACAGCTGGGTCTCATCATTCAGACACAGTGCACCTCCCAGGCACAAGGGGAAAGAGTGTCAGAAAGATTCCCTGGGCAGGAGGTTCTGGTAGTTTGGTTTTGTTTGGCTAGAGATGAAGCATGCAGCCTTCCTGTAGGTGAGTGGGCCTGTGGCCAGAGGACCCAGGGACAGGGGGCATCTGGCTCATTGCTATCTGCCCAAATTGGATCAGGGAGGCTTATTCACAAGAGCTGAGCTCTCTCTGCTTACAGAGACAAACATCAACATAGGGCCGTGAATGCCTGGAGCGGGTGCTGAGGTCCCGGCCATTGAGCAAGCTCCTTTCCCTTCCACATGTCCTTTTCTCCCCAGAGCCAGCCCCTTTCCAGTTAAGGAAGAGAACAGAAGACCCCATGGACTCTACCCTCAGGCAGGAGACACCCAGGGGCCCCTGTGCGCTAACAAAGAGAGGCACATTGTTCTCCGGGTGGCTGGTGTCTCAAACACTTGGAGCGCAGGGGCACAGAACTCCAGGTTCTAGGAACCAGAGCGGAAGAAAACAGGTGGTGGAAATGGCCTTTCTCAGAACTGCAGTGACACACCAGCCAGAGCTGAAAGCCACATGCTGGCCCACTGGGAGGGATCCAGACCCCCACCCATCCCAGGAGGCCCCTGCTCAGGCTGTTTGGGGTGTGGCCGAAGGCTTACTCAGCCTCTGCAGAAGCGGGGAAAGGGGAGCGGAGTGCAGCCCGGGGCCCCCACTTTTTGCTCACACCAATGGGTGTGTCTGGACATTCCTCATCTGAATGTTTATTTCCATTTTCACCAACACAGAAGCATGGGGTGAGAGTCTCCAAACTCACAGTGTGGCCAGATGATGGTTACCTTAAAAATTAAAAGGTTAGCTTTTGCAAGACAAAAAAAGTGAGCGACTAAATGGAATATGGATGAACTTTTGCATGCAGAGCTGAAGTGATCAGCAATGCCCAGTGTGGCTGGAGGGAGCTGGCTCTGAGTGTCCCTACCTGGCAGGCAGCATGAGGGAGCTGTCTCCTGCCATATGGTTTAAACTCAGTCAAAGAACTAAGAGTTGAGTACAGCTTATCAGAATGGCTTGCGGGATTCGAGCCCCTGTCGTGTGACCGCCAGGGCCACCCGGGCATCTCTATTCTTGCTGTAACTGTCCTGAATCTTCTCAGCACCAGAGCCTGCTGGATCTCTACTTCAGAAATGAATTTCAAATTCAATTAAATAAAGAGTTTGCTATTGAATCTGAAATGGAATAAGAGATTTGATTTTCCAAGAGATACTTTTTACCCAGTTAAGATATTAAGTCAGTCTTTTATAACACTGTCCAAGATATATCTTATCAGAAGGCAAAGAGCTGACTGGGTCCAATTCAGGCTGTGGTGGCAAGATGGGCATGAGAAGGAACAGCCTGTGGGAAGATGGAAGACTCCCATGCATGAACTCCTGATGCCGGGGCAAGGGAGGACAGGAGGACGGGAGGAAGGAATGGGGACATGGGTCACTCCAGAATCAGGGGAGAGTAGGAAATCCAGCAAAACCAGGAGAGAACCGGCTCCCCGGGGAAGTCTCCCTGGTAAGAAGAGCGCTGAGGCAGCCACGGGCAAACAGGGCGCTAGGCCACGCAGCTCTCACACTCGCCCCCAAGGCCCACCCAGGCAGGGAAATCCGAGGCCTCCCTTGGTGGGTGGTCTCCAAGGCCACGTGCACTTACGTTCAATGAGGAAGAGAAAGCACACTATCCCCATGGCTGCCACGATGGCTCCAGGCACGACGAAGGACAGGCCCCAGCATGTGGACACCCAGTAGCCAGCGATCAATGACCCCAAGATGTTGCCCACGGAGGTGTGGGAGTTCCAGACCCCCATAATCAAACCTCTCCTGCAGCACAACAAAACAGAAGACAGAAGATGGAGCTGAGAAGCTGAAACGAGTCCAGCAGTGCAGGGCGCAGCAGTGCCTGCAAAGTAGGGAGTCGGCGCAGAATCAACGGGGGGCCATGCAGACCCTGCTTCTGTGCCATGCAGGACTCGCGATGCTCACGAGAGCTGATGTGTTTATGTGGCCTCAGGCTGTGCCATCACCCATTCTACCTCTTGCTCTGAGCGCATTCTGTACTCAAGAAGAAGAAAGAGGCCTTTCCCTGAAAGTCTTGGAAGGCCTGAAATTAAAATTTGTGCCTCTACAATCAATTAATACATACAGTCACTTGATGAACTGTCATTTGAACAAAACTCATGGATGCACACACCAGGTGAATGAGGCACAGTATCTAAGACTTAAGACCTGATGACGCTGGTGTTCCCGTTTTAGCTTCCGCATCTTGTTTGCGATCGTCCACCATAAATAAGCCTTTGGCCTGGCTGAGCTGAATTTTACAAATAAATAAATTTTATCTGTATAAAATAAAAGCCATTTACAAATAAATCTGGACTCGCCAGGCTGGGTCCCAGCTCTGCTACTTTGGTGCTGTGCGCTGGGTGACCCAGGTCGGGACTTCCCAAACTCCCATGTTAACATGTAGCTTTGGCTTCAAAAGGCCTGGGGCAGGGTCCTGGACTCTGCATCTCCCACAACACCTGGGAGGCCAGATGCAGCTGTCAGAGGAGCCGCCGAGTGACACGGACTTCACCAGGCCCACAGTGGGAGGGCGGAGCTCCCCTGTCTCGTGGGACACAGGCCATCTGAATTTCAGCAATTCAAGCCCCAGAGGTTTCAGCCATCTTATTTTAAAGAGGATACTAAAGTGTTTTTGCTGTAATCAGTCTACAGAAAAACTAAAAGTAAAATGGTCTAGTTTTCATCTGCTATTGGAAACAGGGCTGCTTTTTCTCACCTTCCTTTTCCAAACCAGTTGCCGAGGCAGGTGACGACGCTGGGCCAGCCGGTGGTCTGCACCAGCCCGTTGATGACCTGCAGGAGAGGCCAAAGGAGAGACTGACCTGTGGGAAGCAGGCCCGGGACAGCGCTGCAGGGAGGTGCACAGAGCTTGCTCCACTTACACAAAGCAGGGGGCACGACAGCCAGAGATGGACTGTCAATTTTATATTTATATACAGTTTAAACTACATATATATTTTAAAACCATGTATACAGGTATCTATATATTTTTCAAAATAAAAGCAATGCATGCCTATTGTGGAAATTTTAGAATAAGCAGAGAAAAGCGAGGAAAAAAAACCCAGCCAGAACCCCACCACCAGCAGATCACACCTCATAACAGTGTGGGGCCAAGCTTCCCGGTCTCTTTTGAATCCAAAAACTTCATAGAAAGAGGCTAGGTGCAGCGGCTCATGCCTGTAATTCTAGCACTTTGGGAGACCAATGCAGGAGGGTCTCTTGAGTTCAGGAATTTGAGACCAGCCTGGGCAATATAGAGAGACCCCCTTGTCTACAAAAAATTAAAAATTAGCCAGGTGTGGTGGTGCACACCTGTGGTCCAAGCTACTCAAGAAGCTGAGATGGGAGGATTGCTTGAGCCTGGGAGGTCAAGGCTGTAGTGAGCTGTGATTGCATCACTGCACTCCAGCCTGGGCAACACAGTAAGACCCCATCTCAAAAAATAAACAAATACAAACTTTTTAAAGAGAGAAAACCTTTCTTCTCTTTATGAACTGTTTATAGAATTGTATGATAAACATGGCTTGTGAATTGCATGTTTCCCTTACCATGCCATGGAGAAGGTACTGTTGTTAATCATTCTCTGGAATGAACACGAACTTGACTTCGCGCCTGGACAAAGTATCTCTGCACTTTTGAAGAATCCCTGACTTGAGTTTCATGAAGGGACTTGGGGAATGTATTGCTGAGGACGCTCTAGCGTCTTGAGACTCGGGGGTGGCTCTACAAGACTGCACGAAACCAGGGCCAGCCTGGCAGCTCCGACTACCTCACTGCAGTAAGCCAGCTCTCTAGAGCAGGGTCCCCAACCCTGGGCCAGCCTGGCAGCTCTGACCACCTCACTGCAGTAAGCCAGCTCTCTAGAGCAGGGTCCCCAACCCCAGGCACAGACTAGTCCTGATCCGTGGCCTATTAGGAACCGGGCCACACAGCAGGAGGTGAGTAGTGGGAGAGCAAGCATTGCCGCCTGAGCTCCACCTCCTGTCAGATCAGCGGGGCGTTAGATTCTCATAGGAGCGCGAACCCTACTGTGAACTGCACATGTGAGGGATCCAGGTTGTGCGCTCCTTATGAGAATCGAATGCCTGATGACCTGAGGGGGAACAGTTTCATCCCCAAACCATCCTCCTCTCCCCAACCCTGGTCCCCAGTGGAAAGACTGTCTTCCACAAAACTGGTCCCTGGTGCCAAAAAGGTTGGAAACTGCTGCTCTAGAAGACGCCTGGGAGCCGCTGGTCTAACTGTTGCTGCCTCTGGGCTGACCGGGCTGGGCCTTCACTCCAGAAACATGCTGGGACTCTGGAAAATTGTTTTCTCCTCCCTTCTAATTTTCTATATTACTACACAAGTGTGAATTGCTTTTGTAATTAAAATAGCCAAACTTTTTCAAGTGTTATGGCAAAATCTTGAAAAGCAAAATTAAATACAATCTGCTTGATGGTTTTATAGCATTCCCCTGACCTATCTGGGGAGCCCCAGAAGCATCACAAAGCCCGAGATGAGCATCATTATTTCAGCAGCTTCCCTCGGCTGCTGAATATTGATCCACAGGACTGCTGGGAAGGGCAGAAGCCAGGAGATTCCGGAAGGGCTCCAGCTCCAAGGGCAAAGCCAGCGCGCGCTGTCCTCAGGCCTTCTCCCCTTCTAGCACCTTCATGATCTCTCCTGTTCTCTCCACTGACTGCCTCACACCCCCTCCTGCTGCCCAACTCCAAAGTCGGCCCTTCCTTCCGCCCTTGCATCCCTCTGTAGACTCCTCAGGTCTCCCCCTTTTTCCTCTCACTGTGACCCAACCAGCTGCAGGTTTTCCTTTGTAGGCTTGGACCCAAGTTGGTCCCTGAACACTCCTAGGCACTGATAAAGGTGTTTCAGTTGTTGACCCAAAACATGGAAAGAAACTAACCCTGGCCCTGAGCCAAATTCCTTAAACCCTCAAATAAACTCCATATGCCAACCCCTCACTGTGGACAGACCTAGGTGGAACGCCCTGTCCCGCTGTGTGTTGCGACCATACACTGCAGCCCTCAGTATGTAAGTTCCCCTAATACATGCTTTAAATTGATCACCCAGCATTTAGTGCTTTGTTCGTTGGAATCCCAACCAGCCCCATCTTGGGATGGTTTGGGGCGCTCCCCTGGTGGGAACTCCCTGCCACCGCTGTTAGGGTGACTGCAGCTGGGGCTTCAGCTGGAGGACACACCCTCCAACCCCTAAGTGGTCAAATCTTTCGCAAGATAAAACATTTCAAACTTATCCACATGAAGACAGAGTGACTCCCAAGGGCTCTGCATGTCAGTTTCCCTGCCGGGGCACTGACAGACAGCATTTTTTACGAGGCAACTCCTGAAATTAAGGAAAACCTCCTGGTTGCTGGAATTTCTAAGCAGAAGAGAAAGGGAAGGACTTTGTTACGTCAGCTGACCCTGACTTCCGACAGGACGCACTTCTGCCCCTTCCCAACACCTTGACAGAGGTGACGTGACATAAACACTCCACCCTATTCACCAAGGAAACCCCGTACATGGTGAGCCACGGATCCAAACCCTTACCTGAGTTACCACGTAGAATCCGAAACTGTGGATGTTGTAGAAATACCCTAAGCCGAACAGGGCGGTGAAGGCTCCGCTGGCGAGCATCCCGAAAGTTAGGTAATACCTAATCGGCAGGCGCTCCCCAATGATGCCACTGAGGTGGAGAGAAGGAAAGACAAATAGGAATAACAAACACGCCCGAATGTTAGCAACCTCGTGGCTGTTTCTTGCCGGATGCTTTCATGCTGTTCTCTGAGCTTGGGGAACTCTCAAGCCTTACAATTTCCAGGAAGATTTCATACACTTATTTCCCTATGGAGCGCTTACTCACCAGAAACCAGAGACTGGCAACATCTTAGAAGATTTTATTTCTAGTAGAAGTCCTATCTGTCAAATAATAAAATTCAAACACTAGGACTTATCTATGATAGCTGCCAATGAAAGGAAACAGGAACTCGTCTTGCTAGTTAATCCTGCTTTCACATAAACCATATCCAGTAAATGTATATAGTGTCTTAAAATTCCAGTTGTCAAACTACACCAAATGTCATGAGATCACTTATGACCCTGAGCAAGTCATTCGGCCCCACGAGCTGTAATTAAGTCACCTGTGTTAATACACCTGGCTGGCTGGGCTCAGTGGGGAAGTGGCTTTCAGCTGCTTTGCCACTACCGCCTCCTGCCACACCACTTTGACCTGATTTAAAGGCAGAAGATTTGCTCTATGGTAAGGTCTGAAATGCTGGGGTGGCATCTCTCTGATCCTTCTGAACAGCAATGCGATTCACTAAACAGCTACCCTCTTTGGTGTCTTATCTTCTAGAGCTGTCTGGGGACCTGGTGGCATAAGGGATGCTTAGCGCCTCACTAAAACAGCCTCGAGGGGGGTGGTAAAAAGTCTCCAGCTTCACAGCAGGGAACAGACTTAACAGTCTTTAGCCGCCATCACAGCACAATACCTAATGCCATCCAAAACATCCCTTACTGTTTTATGGGAAATGTCACTATGGACCAACTTAACATTGTGACTTATTAAGTAAACAGAAAAGCTGTAGAGTATCACGGATGGACGTGAGCCCTTCACAAGCATTAGAGACTCTATGGGTCTCACTTTCTTCTGTAGGGTCATTCTAGGAGTCAGATAAACAGGAAACCTAACACACAGTGACACCTGCCTGCCATGAACCCCACTCCGGGAGTCAGCTCCAATGTTCTCAGCTTTCATCTCAAAAACCTACGCCAGAGAGATTTTCCTTCCGAATTCACCAAGTAAAAAAGATCTACCTTGGATCATGCAAATGACCTTTTAAACACTAAAGCAGAAGAAAGTAACTTAAAATTATAGACAACATCCAGGTGAAAATTTCAGCTAAAACCTCACCACACACAGACTCAAGAGCATTGTAGAGCTAGAGAGTTACTGACTTCAACCTGCCCACTTCAGAGACCAGGAGATAGGTCCCTGAGAGGCTGGCTGACCTGCCCAGGTCACAGCACAGCTGGCACAACCAGATGGGCTCCTGAGAGCTGGGTGCTGCTGGCTAGGCTTAGAAGTATTCTCTAATCTTGCTATATGATTTGGGCCTACTTTGATCTCTACTGAAAAATTTTAAAGAAAAGGTCTAATTGAACAAACACCATTTCACATTACATGGGACTCATACAGGGATTCAAGTCCACGCTGCACCTGCTTGAACCCACCAGGCAGTACCTGGGCTGAATGGCTGTACCCTATCAGATCTGATTTCATCTGACATAGCGAACAAAACAGCACCCATCACTGAGACCTCAGGTAGGGACTGTCACACAAAAAGGCCCCTTCAATGCAGCAGCATGTGCCCTTGTTTTCAGTCATGAGTTTACTGTGTAGATGTCACATTAGACCAAATTTTGTTTTAATAACCTTACTGACAAGTTGCATAAGAATTATCTTTACCGTAAATAAGCAACAAGAAACCAGTTTATTTACTTAAAGCAGGCTTTCTGAACCCCAGCACTATTGATACTTTGGCTCCGGTAATTCTGTGGTGTTAGGGGCTGTCCTGTGTGTTGTAGGATGTTTAGCAGCACCCTGGTTTCTAGCCACTAGATGCCAGCAACATCCCTTCCCTGGCTGTGACACCCACAAATGTCTCTAGACATTACTAAATGTCCCCTAGGAGACAAAACTGCCCCCAGCTGAGAACCAGATTTAAATGCAGTTTTCCAGTAACTGAGAAAAACACATTCCCACTTTGGGTCTTTTTATACCACAGATTATTTGTGTTCAGTAAGACTGCAGTGTGGGGAATATAAACATTTGACCTCAAAGTGGAGAAGGTCTGGCAGCCTGGCTGAGACCCAAGCGCTAAGGAAGCCCCAGGTACACACCACACTCTCCAGCTAGGCTCCTGGTCTGCTGCACACCACACACTCTGGGATTCCAAATCTTTATTATTCATTTGTTCACTTAGACAAGTTCTGCAGCAGGAGGCAAATACACACGTTCAATAAAGGGAGAGCTATGCACTCTCCTCCAACAGCAGACACTGCCTGCCTGGGCACCAACCACCCACCAGGGCTCTGAGCGGGGTAGGGGGGCCCAGGTCTTGATGATCCTACACTCTGGGCAGGTCTCAGGGAAGCAGCTAAACATTTATGGGGATCCCTGGGTTTCTCCAGGCGGTAAAGACCTCTGTCTCTGAACAAAAGCCTCTTGGGACCACATGCCTCAGTCTCTGGCTGTGGTGTGACTATGGTTGGTCTCCATCAAAACTTGTGTTGAGGCTTGGTCCCCAGTATAACTGTGTTGAGAGGTACAGGGAGCTTTGAAGGGCATTTGGGTCATGAGGGATCCGCCTTGACGAAGGAATGAATCCGCAGGAGTGAGTGGCCGCGCTCTCAGGACTGATGAGCTATTGTGAGAGGTGAGAGCTGGTTGCTATAAAGCAACGTCACCCCTGTGCTGTGTCTGTTTTGTATGCCCTGCTCACTGCTAACCCATCTCACAGGGGCCTCTGCTAGGTGACGCCCTCCACCACATTACAATGTGGCACGAGGCTCTTGCCAGATGCAGCTGCCCAATCTTGAACTTCCCAGTTAGATAAAAGCTAAATACACCTTTTTTCATTATAAATTACTCAAGCTCAGATATTGTGCTAATAGCAACAGAAAATGGGCTAGAACATCCCTATACTGCCTTTAAAAAAAAACCTGGCTGGACTGACACAATAGCAGTTTTTAATCAGCCAATCACACGTCCTATGACCCATATAATATTCACCACCTGCCTTGGTCAGTTCAAAGTGGGATCAAGAATGGGCTGGGCTGGCAGCACAGGCCAGGCACCGTTGTGAGCTTCTACATACATTAACTCAATCTTTGCCCCAATCCTATGACATAAGAACTATTATTTCCTCCATGTTGCAAAGGGGAAACTGAGGCCCAAAGAGGTATAGTAACTTGCTCAAGGCCACATCCTAGCAGGTGGTAGAGCTGGGGTTCAGATCCCAGCTGGTGTCTCTCTGGAGTTCCCTGCCCACCACGCAGAGCTGCCTCTGCTGTACTCAGAGCTGGGACTCAGATCCGAGCCGGTCTCTCTCTGGAGTTCCCCACCCGCCATGCATGGCTGCCTCTGCTGTGCTCAGAGTTCTGGGGCCAAGCTGGGCATCCAGGTAGAGCTGTTCAGCACATCCTGTGTCAACTGTTTCGATCATCAGGTGAAATTCGTTATTTGGGGCATATAAACAGATGGCAACCTCTGAACCACAGGAGAGGTTGGGCTCTGCTGAACAGGAAACTAGTCCTCTGTTCCTGAATGACCACGTCCCAGGATTGGCAGGATTCATGGTAGGTCCTAAACTTCAGGGCCAGGAAAGCTGAGGGCAGCCTGTGTCAATTGGCACAGTGCCCGGGACACGGAAATCCTCTGCCTCGAGGTCCTGTGTTGTGGGCACAGCACACGCACTTGCTCTCTCCTAAGCTTGGCCTCGTCTTTGGGAAGGGAACAGCAGGGAAGCCAGTGGCAAGCGGGGGCCTCAATCCCGCGCGCCTGTGCACTTCAGCATAGCGGATGTCTTCTCTGCACGGAGGGGCCAGGTAACCAGGAAGGGTCTGGAAAACTGAAGGAGACCTACCTGAGGTACATCCCCACGGCATAGGCGCACAGGAAGGAGTAGTCCAGGGCCCCAAGCAGCTGCTGATAGTTGTTCTTATCTATATGAATTTGAAAACCAGCAGGACAAGCTCAGTATTGTTTAGTTTATGTTCTAGAGCACGGCTATAAAACACAAAGCATCTGTTCCCGAAATCGGGGTGTACTTAGTGAAACGCGTGGTTTTCCACATAGAAAACAAGGCGGTGCATTTTCTGTTCAGTTTCTTGCAAAGGAAAATGAAGTCACCGCAGTTTCAAATAATCACTAAATATAATACAGGCGTCATTCAGATGAGATAAAATCCCCATTGTGCATGGTGGCTGCACATTTGATTGATGCCTTTTCTTTTACGTGTCCACTGGCTTTTCTGCAGCACACCTGCCTAGGCCAGCACCCACACCAGCGCCTCGTGTCTCTCTCTTCTTCTCACCCACAGAACTATGCCCTGCAAGTCCAAAATACAAAATGCAAATGATCTTCAGCACATTTCCCCATAAAGAGAACCTTCTTTCAGGAGGAACAGCTCTGCGCACAGGCACTGTGGACACCGTGGCGGTGAAGTCATGTGCTTTTTGGTAGGAGAGGGCTGTCATGGAAATGCAGTTACATCTGGGAACAGCATTACTGCTGCTAAAGTGATTAATAGCAAGGCTGGAAGGACAGCCGCTTCGGCTCCTGGACGGACCGATAATCGACTTACCAAACGGTGCCCAGCCACAGTCGGTCTCATTGTCAGGGAGCTGGTGGGGGGCAGCGGACCCAGACTTCCTGTTCTGGCTGCTGAACCTGACGTCAGCTTCATCCCAAGCAGTGCAGTACTTGTGGAGCTCACCCTGGGACGTGATGGGAGGGCAGAAGCAGGGAGAGGAAGTGCCCTCAGTGAGGCTCAGCATGGGGCACAGAGAGGAACAGTCACCCCTCCTCTCCCAGCAGCCTGCCCAGGGCACCTGCACCCTGCATTCTAAGAGGGACACAAGGCGCTGCTGGCGGTGTGTCTGCAGGACCCACAAGAATGCCTGCTGGTGACGTTTCAGCAGGACTCTCCAGCAACCCCACTCCTGAGCACGTGACGAACATAAGCCATCTTCATATGCCACCAGAAGACGAGCCTCGGGAGCAGTTTTAGTTCTAAGAGCTCCAAGCTGAAAGCCGACTGCCTGTCATCCTTGACCACCTGTCCACAAGGAAGAAGGGGTACATTTTCCTAGATTCACACAACTGAATGCTACACACCCGTGAAAAAGAACAAGTTACAGGTCCAGGCAACAATGAGGATGAACCTCACAAACATAACATGAAGCAGAAGGAGGCAGACATGAAAGAGTACAGACTGCAGCATTCCACTCATAGGAAGTCCAAGCATGGGCAACGAATCCATGCGGCTAGAGGTGAGAGTCACGGTTACCTAAAGGGGGACAATGTGGGACAGGGGATGGGGAGCTGTCTGGGAGCCAGAAAGGGTCCATCCCTTAACCTAGAGGATGACTACCCCTATGGGCATGTACAGATCTGCCAAACTGTACACTGAAGATTTGTATACTTAGTAAGTGTAAATCATACCTCAATTTAAAAATATCCCTGGGGCAGGGGACCACCCACCCACCAAACTGTCCACAGAACCAGCAAGCAGGGCCAGGGTTGGAGACACTTGTCTGGGAGGTGGGAGGAGGGGAAAGCCATCGCCCTGGAGTTTGGTGACTGGCTGTGTGAGCATGTTACTTGCTGCCCCTGCCTCGGTCTCCCCCTCTGCAGACAAGGCTGCTGCCCAGTTACAGAAGTCACTGGGACCCGTGACGCTGAACACCAGGCTTTTTGCACAGAGCTTAGGATGACACGGCCCTTGTGAAACAAACCCTGGGCAGAGAGGAAAGCTCATGTGTCGGGAGGCAGAGGGGCCTGAGTGGGTGCTTCTTGTTGGGAGGCAGAGGGGCCTGAGTGGGTGCTTCTCGTTGGGAGGCAGAGGGGCCTAAGTGGGCTCTTCCTCAGGGCATTCCTTGGGAAGAGGAACAACACTTCCAGGACAGCGCCACATGTGGCAGGGGCTCGTCTTGTTGCGGGGGAAACTGAGGAAGACAGAATGTGCTCTGTGACTGTGTGTCCCTCCCTGGTGGCCTCTGTCGCTCCCATGCTTCTCTTCTCAGGGGTCTCTGTAGTGATCATTCTGCACTATTCAAGATTCAAAGGAGTTGCCCCATCAAGCGTGAGTGATGGCGGCAAGTGAAGTCCTTGTGGTCAGAGGGGTGTCCCTTAGGGGGATCGAGTGCCCATTCAGTGCCCGTGATACCAGAGGGGTGTCCTCGTGAGCTGGAACCTGAGAGAGGCCAGGGGTCTGGAGGGCAGTGCACAAAGCTGGCTCCAGGTCAGGGCACAGAACGCTGGGCAGGGAGCCACCCCAGTGCCCAGGCAGGCAGCAGCCGGAAGTCCTGCCCCCCCTCTTCAGGAGGGAGTGGCCAACAAGGCTGGCCACTTTCAAAAGGCCAGGGCTTTTGAATCGGAGCTAGACACCCTGATTTACAGCTGGCAGCACGTGGGCCACGTCACTGAGTCCCGGCATGTCACACGTGATGCAGCTGCTCCACGGTCACGTGACTCTGCCGTCATCACTGGGCTGTTCTGCTATAATTAAACACTGTCCCCAAAAACTAGCCAAGGGCTCTACTTTACAATGCAAAGTCATCATCTGCCCAGCAGCTCCCTTGGCAGAGCTGGTCCTCCCTGGAGGCGCCATGCTGACCTCCTGGCATCTCAGGAAGAGAGTGCTTTCATTTGCTCCCCAACTGCTTGGGTCCCCCTGGCTGCTCCTGCTTGTGTTTTAAGTTCTCCACCCAAGGTGGACGTGAGGGGCTGGGAGTGTGATCGTGAGACCCAGGGCGGGTGCCTGCAGCCCTTCCTCTCTGTATCAAGCTGGTATCTGTGGCCTTTCTCTGTTCACCCGCCGCCTTGTTGAACACTTCTCCTTGGCACCTTCAGAAGCCAGGTGTTTCTGCCCACCTTTCCCTGCTGCCTCCCATGGAAGTCAATCTGGCCACGCCCAAAGGGCCTAAGCATCGCCACTACAATTCACCTCTGACTGAAGAAAGCCACAGCTAGGGCAGGAATACAGGACATTCCCCGGCTGAGGGAGAATCATGTGCAGGGAGAAGCTGAAGTTTCTAACATTAACCTGGTGCAGAAGAAAGGAAAAAGAGATTCTGCAGGCCGCCGCTTAAAACAGAATTTTATATCCTTTGTGATTTAATATTTCTGGGGAGGAACCACCTGTGGAAAACATATCCGATTAGAAATGTTCCCTTTTTTTCATAAATAAGCAGAAAAGTTTTCCTAGTTTTGTTATGTAATGAGTGGGGGTCTCACATCCTGGTTAGGGATATAGGCTTCGGCAGCAGACAGGCCTAAGCTGGGATCTTGGTGCCTCTCTGTGGCTTCTGGCCTTGGTGACATCACTTACACTCCCTGGCCATCAGTTATGGAGTTGGCATGACAATGCCTGTGTCCCAGCATTACTATAAAGATGGACCATAATCGGAGTGTGCCTCTCTGGCCCTCCGCCCCTGGGAAGGGTCCAGGAAAGGGCCACTGTGAGTCCGGGCGCCTCTCTGGCCCTTCTCCTTGATGTTGGAAAGGTCACCTTCACCCGCACCCCGCAGACCTGTTGGAAGGCTGCTGCCAAAGCCATCGAGATTTCATATTACTCCAGCACAAAGAGTTCTGAGGATATTTACATAACCACAGGTTTTCAACAACATTGCTATATTTCAGTATTTCTATGAGTTTTATCCCCCAAACGTGGCGTTCCAGAGACAATGCAAACTTAATTAGGTTAAGATGAACTGGTAAGCAAACCCCTCGCCAGGTGAGCAAATTCTCACCAAAGCACTTCAGGGAAGCACCCTCACCTCTGCATAGCCACACCATCCCTGCGGAAATACTTGGGGAGGGGGTCAAGTCCTTTGGGAAACGTCTGCTTTCATAAAAGCAGCTTTCTTTACACCTTTTTACACAAGTGCCTTTCAACAAGTTACATACAAAATCAACCTGTGACATCAGGTAGATATTAAAAACTGATCAGGCAAAAGCCTCTGCAGCAACTGAACTCCACACTTATGTGAGGCGGGAGGCTGAGTGGGCCCTGTGAAGACGCGGGCGTCACGGCTGCTAAAGCGTCCATGCAACACACAGAACAGCAACAAAAATAAACAGCAGATGCCATCGCGGGTGGAGGGTGGGGGTGGGAGAAGAAAGGTGCCAATCTTCTGGAAGAACACAGAAAACCGCCAGGAGTCACAGCGCGACGAGTGTGCGGGGAAGGCGGCGGGGCCGGGAGTCACAGCGCGACGAGTGTGCGGGGAAGGCGGTGGGGCTGGGAGCTGGCAATGTCTTCTGTCTACAGACTCCCTCGCCACATCCAGCCCTCCCCACCCCTCCCACTGGCAGCGAGAGGAAATCCCGTCCGGGGAGCAGCAGGCAGCTGCGGTGGGAATTTCATGACACTAGAAAAGACTGGACTCCTCCCTCATCCTACACCTGCAGAGCCCCACGCAGTCATTTAGGCACAAACATTCACTGTATTCGCCTGCATTCCATGAAGGCTCCGTTCTTTCCATGCTGAATTTGAGCCACTTCGCAGACAGAAGTGGCCCTGGGTTCTCAGCCCCACCTAAGTTGCCTAAGACTACAGCCACGCGACACATTCTCTGCAGCAGGTACGTGGCCTCCAATAGAGGAGATTATCAGGCAGTCTGGAGGGTGCAGGAGCCACTGAAAGGCAACAGTGAGAGGACAGGACAGGAGCAGGGGATTCAGGCCTCACTGAATCCCCCTGGAGGACAGTGGGGTTAGGCCAGTTTCACTCCACCTTCAGCCAACACAGAGGGGGTGTGTGTGTGTGTGTGTGTGTGTGTGTGTGTGTGTGTGTGTGTGTGTGTGTGTGTGTGTATCATCTGCATTTGACGATCTGTCTAGTCAACTTTACGTGGCTCATTAGGCTGTGTGGGTGCACTGATTCTAACCAGTCCTTCACATTCCTTTTATAAGGCTACAAGAATTCTCCAAAGCATTATCTAAGTCCTGGAAGAGCAATTACAGTTTTGGTACCAAAAGTAGGAGCGACCAGCCAGGCTCTCCCCCACAGACAACAGCACCTGCCCACGGCCAGCCTCCTGCGATGAGTCACAGGTGCCACGTGAAATGCATTATACACACTCAGGGACAGACACGCAAATGCTCCACTCATGAAGGATACAGAAATAGATGGAGGAGCTTCTTGGTCATTGTTTACTTCTCAAAAATGGAATCATTCTATACATCCTTATGCACATGTTAACTTCTTACTCAAAGTACCTCCTGGAAATGTTTCTGAGTCAACTGGTTTGCCTGTGATGAATTCTTTTAGGGACCTGCACATTTCATAATACGGACTTGTGATAATTTATTCAAACTTTTACCTACTTATTAGGTTCCCTTGATATCCAGCATTGTTTTTTTTTCCTTTTTGCTTTTTTTGGTCACTACAAAGCTGCCATAAAGATGCTTATGAAGATATTCCTAAGTAAGGTGCTTTTATTTTTAGGGTGAAATTCCCAGAAGTATGTCTGAAGGCTGTAGTGTTTTTTATTTCACTGGGTGTCACCAAAAGGCGCTAACGCTTGACATCCCATCAAGAACGCATGAAAACTCCTCTCCCCTCACGACCAGTGAATAGCGCTTACTGCCCTGGGCAATGCTGTGCCAGCCACTGAGCACAGTGTTGCCTTAATTTGCATATGGAATACCGGCAGACTCGAACACCATTCACATATTTCCTGGCGATCTGAATTCCGTGTCTGTAAACTGCTTGTTCATCCCCCTTGCCCGTTGTTTCTTTGGGTTTCCTAACTTCACACTCACTCCTACGATAAACATAATTTTCTTCTTGGATTTGTACTTTTTGTATTTTACATTCATGTCTTTAATCCATTTATTTTATTTTACTTTTTTGAGATGGAGTCTCACTCATGTCACCCAGGCTGGAGTGCGGTGGTGTGGTCTCGGCTCACTGCAACATTCGCCTCCCAGGTTCAAGCGATTCTCATGCGTCAGTCTCCCAAGTAGCTGGGATTACAGGTGCCCGCCACCATGCCCAGCTCACTTTTGTACATTTAGTAGAGATGGTCAGGCTGGTCTCGAACTGCTGACCTCAGGTAATCCACCTGCCTCGGCCTCCCAAAGTGCTGGGATTACAGGTGTGAGCCACAGTGCCCGGGCCATTTGTTTTTATAAAATAGGGATTCAACATTTATTTCTTCCTGACGAATAACCAGTTGTGCCGACACCATTTATTAAATTTATTAAATAAGCTCTGTCAAATATTCCATATTTTCTAATCTATTCTACTGACTTTTTTGTCTATTCTCATGTAATATCATAATTTGATTATGGTATTAAAATATGTTAATCTTTTGCATATTTTCATATCATAAAATGTTATCTTTACACTTTTCTTGATAATTCCTGGACATTCTTTCATACAAACTTTAAGATTATTTTATTCAATTAAAAAAAACCCTGCTAAGATTTTCACTGGAGTTGCATTTTATTTAAATATTAACACTGGGAGAATTGGAACTTTCCAAATAACAAGTTTCCCACCCATAGTACATACTTCCAGCTTTTCAGACTTTGTTTTCTGTCTGCCACTGAGGATTATTTTATTTCATTTTTTTTTAGATGGAGTTTCACTTTGTCGCCCAGGCTGGAGGGCAATGGTGCGCTCTCGGCTCACTGCAAACTTCGCCTCCCGGATTCAAGCTATTCTCCTGCCTCAGCCTCCCCAGTAGCTGGGATTACAGGCGCCTGTCACCATGCCTGGTTAATTTTTTTTGTATTTTTAGTATAGATAGGGTTTCACTATGTTGGCCAGTTTGGTCTTGAACTCCTGACCTCAGGTGATCCGCCCACCTCGGCCTCCCAAAGTGCTGGGATTACAGGCGTGAGCCACTGCGCCTAGCCAGTTTTCTCCTTTTAAGTCCTGTGTGTCCAGAGAGGGGTGGGCACACTCACATTCAAATCAATGCTGCCATCCCCCTGGCTCCAGGGACCCCTGCAGTTTAAGCTTCTCCGGGAAGCCTCTGCTTTCAGGTTTCTTTTCTGGCCCAGTCCAGGTGAAAAGAGCTCGCACTAAGATCTCTGCTGGGAGTCAGACTCACCTGTCTACCAGCTTGGGCAGACGCTTGCCTTGAGTCCTGAGGCTAGGCCACAGCTGGAGCAGCAGATAGAAGGGACAGGGTTGCACTTATAACACCACTATCCTCCCAGCCCTGGTTTTATCATCATCATCGAGAAAAATACAATTAATCAGCAGTGATCAAAGGTAAGTCTAAACATTCCATTTAACTAACTTAAATGTGACCTGGTGTGCCGTGTCATTCTATAAATGACATAACAGAATAAGACTCACTTTCTAATTCACAGCCTCTGGTTCAATTTCAAGTAAGCAAATACATTTTGCTTTGGTTTTGCTTACAATATTCTGGGAAATGCAGGCTATAAATAATCACTCAACTGTTTTGTGGGTCAACAGAATCACTACTACTTTCAGTTTCGTTGATGCCATTTATATCATGAGCTCAAGCACACGGGCGCTTCAGAAGGCACTATAAAGTTTAGTTTTGATGTGGTGTGATGTTCTGATCTATCTTGAAAGGTAAAGAAACCCACAGGATTCAGCGTCAAGCCAATCCATGCCCAGGCACATCGCAGCTGCTAGGTCAGGAAATCTGTGCGTTTAGGAGGCTCTGAGGGTGATGCTGGGACTGTACTCAGGTAATTAAACCCGGACAAACCCTGAGGCACAGAGAGGATGAGTAGGGGCCCTGGAGGCAGCCTGACCCACAGGGAATTCTCGAGTGTGTGGCAGCCCTGCCTGGGGAACGAAGACCCGAGCCTCAATTTCCTCACAGGGGCACTCGCAGGGTTGCTGTGAGGATCACAGGGGTAATGTATGTGGCAGTTTGTCATACCCCAGGGCTCTGTAAGCGGCAGTTATTTATATTGTTACTTATGACACTGAACTAAGAGCTGACCCTGACGCCGCCTCCTCAGAAGCCCTAAGTCTTGAGTGGCCTGGACACCACTACACACGAGAGTCAGGGGCGGGGGCTTTGAGATGGACCACCAGGAAAGCCGGGAGAGGGACCGGGACAGGGCTCCCACTTGCTCCTGGCTCACAGGGGCCCTCATAGTCATCAGGTGGACCCCAACAGCTGTGGCCTGACAAAGATTCCCCCAAAGGCCAGCCCACCTTACACGCTACATCTGCCCCAACAGCCCCCCAGCCCAACAGGTGGTGCCTTCATGGAGATGCCCATCCCTGCACGTAGCACTCAAGGCAGTTCTCCCACCTGTAAAGCTGTTTTTCTTCCCCTACAATCCACACCCAACCTTTCTAGGTCAATCCTGAAACCCCACACAAGCTCCCCAACTACACCAGATCCTTCAACTCCAACACGCTCACCAAGTCTCTTCAATAGTCACTTCCATCTTTATAATTTACCATTTTCTTGAGCTGTTTGTATATTTCTCTAACCAGAAAGACAAGAAGTAGTAGTATTCAGATTTATAATGACTGGTTACTGGTACTGATTTGAGAGTTTCTTGTCAAGCGGATGAGTGTTTAAGGCCCACCACCTCTTTTCATATTCTTCTCTCTTAAAAACCACATTTTCAAAGGTCTGCAAACGTTTTCCACAGTCAACAACTTGAGAGGCATGGAAGTTTCTTGCTTATCAGGGGCCAAGGGGGAATTTTAGAATCTTTTGGGTAAATGAATGTTTAACATCCCCTGAAAGCTGCTGGAGAGTGGGGAACCTAGGACCGTCACAAAACAGCCAGCCTCTGCATTGCCTCTGCCGACCAGGGCTGCAGAGGGCAGCCACCCAGGGCTCAGCCACCGGCAGGAGTGGAGGAAGCACAGCTCCAAAGGTCACAGAATTGCAGTCCTGGAGCTGGGTCCCTGCCAACTCCCGGAGAGTGAGCGAGGGGCCACTGGGCTGTGAATGCACTGTCTCTGGCAGTGGATGATTTCCTCGTTCTTCTACGATAGAGACTCTAATGCCTCTCAGGCCCCTGATGGTCTACAGGCCGGGTGACGTAATCCCAATGAGGGTAAGAAAATTATTCCTGCTTTTCTCCAGGTTATAACTGGTGATTATGTAGGCTTGTCTGCTTTAATCTTCTTTTCTCAAAGTCTAGTAGAACACCTGCTTAACAACTTCCTGCCCACCCATCACTCAGACAAAAATGCAGCGTTCCAAGAACAATGGAGAGCCACCTCCGCAGCCAGACCTAGGGTTGGATCGCACGAAGAGCTGGAATTTGGGGAACCACTTAAGACTGGATACATTTGGAAGGAACAGTCACACAAGATAAAATAAATATTTAGCTAAGCTTTCAAATTCTGGAAATGTCAACTAATAAAACTAAAAGTCTACTACCTCTGAAAGTATAAATCCAAAAAACATTTAAAAGACTTTAATTTTAGCAAAGGGAAACCGAAAAGCCAAAGCAGCAGAATAACTTGTTTCTACATAATCTGTTTCCCCATGTACCTGCTACCATCCCCATCCTCTGCCCCACAAGCTTTTCAAGTGACGAACTCCTCACAGAGACGACAGGCAGTGCTTTCCATGATTCTTACCTTAACTATGCTGATAGGCTTTCGAGATAAGTGAAAACTTGCATACAGCAGAAATGTCAAAATAAAAATGAAGGCTCTGTACCTGAAACACAAAACAGTGGGAGAGGATGATATGAAATAACAGAAGTTATGTTAGGAATACATATCACTGTGTTCTGAAACGTTCTTATGCTGTGTATTATTCATTCAGTTCTACAGCCATTATCAATATTACTTATGTCACTATAATATTGGAACATTAAAAAATATTGCCACGTTTGCTTTGTCCAAATGGAAACTGAACACTGTAAGAGACAGGAAAAACCAGACTGCTTTTCCTACCCTCATGCACAACACACAACATACCATACTTCTAACACTACGTGTGTAGGGGTTTTCCCCATATACCAAGCAATTCTCCAGCTGACACTGGATGTCCTCTAAGTGAATTCAATTCTCACACTGTCTTCCAGGAGTCAGCATCAGCCCCCACAGGGCGGGGCTCCGGCCGAGGCTGCCCCGCTTCACATGCCAATGGCAACAAGCCCCAGGTTGTGACCTGCTCCTCTGACCAACTGGCTCTCAGGGTGGTTCCCAAGAACCCCTTCTCAGGTTCGATTAATTTGCCAGAGCAGCTCGTAGAACTCAGGGAAACACATTTACTGCTTTATTATAAACGATGTTACAAAGAATACATACAGATGAAGAGATGCACAGGGCGAGGTATGGGGCAGGGAGCTCGGAGCTGCTGTGCCCTCGCCAGGGCTCCACCCTCCGGGAACCTCCCCGTGCTCAGCAGCCTGCAAGCCCCCAAACGCTGTCGTTGAGGGAGTCTGTGGAGGCCTCATTACACAGGCACGATCGAGCAGAACACCGGCCACTGGTGATCCACTCCACCTCTGCGGGCTCCCTCCCCTCCCCAGAGGTCCACGGGTGGAGTCCCAACCTCTAATCACGTGGTCGGTTGCCCTGGCAACCAGTCCCCCAGGAGGTTGTCCTGGGGCCCGCCACAGTCACCTCATTAGCAAACAAAAAGACACTCAGCACTAAAGGTTGTAGGAGCTGTGTGCCCAGAACCAGGGCCAGAGACCAAAAGCATGTTTCTTATTATTACGTCACAATATCAAAAGCATTCATCTATTTAAAGAAACCGTAACCAAAGGGAAACCTGGGACTCGAGATGCACACTTGAGTTTACAAAGCAGAACAAGCACGATGAAATGTTTAGTTTACAACAAAACTAACCACAAGTTTCTGGCGTAGCCTGCTATCCTGGGCAATTAAGATCATATTTATTTTTGGCTCTTTGGTTTCTATGCAACTTTTCAGAAGCACACAAGCAAGGCAGACATATAAATATTTCACGGCCCTCAAAGAGAAAAAGGCAGTGACGCTGGCAGGCTCTCAATAGGCCAGTGACAGAAACACTGGTACAAAGCCCCTCGCTCAGTTTGGCTGGGAGAAAAGCAGCCGAAAGAGTCAGCATGAGTGTGAGGAAGAAAGAAGAAAAGAAGGTGCCTTAGAAAGAAGACAAAGGGCAACTCCAGTCTAAGAGTCTCAACCACCGCATAGAAAAATACTTTTTGGGGCAACAAAATGGGTTGGGAGAAAGAAGTATTTGACAGGAGTGGAAGGCGAGGGGCAGCTCTTCTGTGTCCTAGGCACATCTCCCTACCCTGGAGAACCTGTCCTGCTTGTGGCCTGGGAAGAGACTTCAAATGGCGCCACCAACAACCTGAATCAATAATTACCTAAGGCGGCGTCCTACACAGGACAAAGAAAGGCAGCGTTTCCGAGAGTCCCTGGGATAAGGGGTTGCTTCTCCCAGCTGCGCATCTACATTTTTAATGTTGTGATTTACTCCGAGGGAAGCTTTCCACAAGTAACTAAAATCCTAGGATCCCAGAGCTGCCTTCTTCTCTGGTCACCAGCTAAAGTAGGGGTCAAATAAATATTTCCAGATTTTTCTTAAAAAAAAAAAGGCCATATTTCAGGTGGGAAAGAAAGGTTGGTGGCTCCGTGTGACACAAAACTACAACCTTTGGAATGCCTGTGCCTTTGGGGAAGGAACCAAACCAAACCAACTCGCAGAATACCTGCTGACTGAAGACAGAAATTCCCCAGTGCTCTCTTCTTCATCAGGGAACTATCTTCCAATGGCCTTTCTCCAATTCTTCCTCTCCAAGCCCATGGCAAGGGCCAAATGGGAAAAAAGCGAAACCCTAAAAGGCGAGCCTATCATTTATCCCAAAGCCCAAAGAACAAAGGCTATGTGGGTACAGTGGATTTGCTCCAGAAGCCCCGGCCTCTGTCCTCGTGTTTCTGAAAACCATCCTTTCTGGCAAGGAAAGAAAGTCTCAGCGCTTTGGATGAAGCTCTCTGTTAGGCCACCACTGCTTCTCACGCCTTCGACTGCTGGTGCAGGAAGATTCCAGGCCACTGGGCTTCACCGGCCCTCAATGCTCACTTGTCCAGCCCACAGCTTGACAAACTGGTCACTTCCACCCCACCTGCTGGAGCTGACTAGGGCAAGTAAGGCTGATGGGTGACCCTGATCGGCCCTCACTGGAGTACAGGGTTTCCTTCTCCAATCTCCTCAAAACAGGTGAACAAAGTTCTCAGGCCAAGTTGCCTCCAGCACCTCCCCAGTCTCAGACAAGTCCATGGACCATCTCTCCTGCTCCATGCAGGAGGATTCTCCAACCACAGTGCCAGTTCTACAGGTGTTATCACCCAGCTAGGAAGGATTTTGAGAAGAGCAGCTCTGTCCTATGGGCTGTGGGTTCACATCTCCACTCTCCACCCAGACAGCCCAGAAGGAAGGCTGTCTCCCTTTGTCGGGCTGAGGTCTGAAGAGTGCTGAGGCCCCGACACACACCGCGTTCCCAATGGTCAGGGCTGCTTGGGTGATCAGGCCCTGGTGATGCGTTCTGGGCTCCTGCCTTCCTCTGCGGGGTGACTCCCGGCTGGTGCTCACAGCACACGCCTAGAGATGCCCTGAGAACACTGAGGAGCACACAAGGGGCAGCACATGCCTCTGGAACCTTTAGTTCAGCCTTGTGTGGAGGGAGACACCTTAATGAATGAGACCCTTTGGGAAGAGTCACTGCCACGGTGTAGCCAGGCTGACAGAAGCCGTCCTGTAGAATTGGGTGAAGGGTCCATTTACACAGCAAACTGGAATGTTCCTAAAGACTGAAGAGGAAAACGCTGTATTTATTTAGCTGGTGTCAGGCCAACTCTACTTCTATTTCCAAATTCGTCTTTCCTCTCTCATTTCTTCATCTTCTGTACTTAGGACTTGGGGCTTGGGGATGGGGGACGCAGTGGCTGGAGGCTAGACTTTCCTCTTTGAAAGGTCTGACTTCAGCTCCCGTGACTATTGCTAAACCGCGGCAGCCACACTCGGGCCGCTGCCTTGCTGGTTGTCACCCCGATACGCCTGGCCTCTGGGTAGGCAGACGCTTCACTCTGCAGCATGGATGGGCTCAAACCCCCAGAAGCCAAACAGCCCTCCCGAAGTCCTTTCTTATTTCGTAATTCTATCTACGTTTTCTTTATCATTTATAAAGCAGATGTTTTGGATGATATGTTTCCTTTTGTTCATTTTGTACTGGGTTGAATATCATCCCCCATAATTTCATGTCCACCCAAAACCTCAGAACGTGACCTTATTTGGAAATAGGGTCATGTAGACATGATTAGCTCAGGTGAGGTCATATTAGATAGAGTGAGCCCTCATTCCAATGACTGGCGTCCTCACCAGAAGGCCACGCAAAGACTCAGAGACAGGAAGGGAGGCCACGTGGCCACACAGGCAGAGACTGGTGTGATGCAGCCACCAGCCAAGAACGGCGGCAGCAGCAGGAGCTGGAAGAGGCAAGGAAGGGTCTGTCCCCGGAGCCTGCAGAGGAAGTGTGGCCCTGCTGACACTTTGACTTTGGACTTCTGACCTCCAGGGATGTGAGAGGGTAAATTCCTGTTGTTTCAAGACACCCAGCTTGTGGTACCATGTTACAGCAGCCCCAGGAGGCTAATATAATCCTTTCATTTTTGTTTTGTGTTATGTTTAGACTTATGAATATAAAACAAATACAATAAAAAAATAAATGATCTAATCTATCTGCTCCTCAGTGTTCTGCTTACTTTTTGCAGTTATGACTACTTATAGCATGCTTGGCTTCCACCAATATGAAAAATCCCACATTTCTAGCAAAAAAGCAGGTCTCAGCAATGACAGCACCAGATGGGGGTGCCCCTCTGGGCCTCCTCAGAGATGTTCTGGAAGACCACGTGTTCTCAGGTGAATGGCAGCCTGCTTAGGGTGAGAGGCTCCATGCAAAATATCTGTCTCCTTGTTTGACTGTTATTACCTCAATCACATGCAAATAAGGAATAAAGAAACACTTTTGAGAATTACTGAGTGATATGATTTGGTGCAGAAATTAGTCCAAAGACATCCTCTGCTTCACTCTGCAGCATGGATGGGCTCAAACCCCCAGAAGCCAAACAGCCCTCCCAAAATCCTTTTTTATTTTGTAATTCTGTCTATGTTTTCTGAGACAGAGAAGCGATGCCATGTCCTGTTCAGAGTATCCCGTCAGAAGGTGCAGGAGGGCAGTGACACTGACGTTGGTCATTGGTTAAAGTGCTGTCTGCCTCATAGTTCCTCAGTGAAACCACTACGTTTCCCTCTAAGTAATGAATATGGAATTTCTGGGAACCTGCTTTGAGATAATGTAGATATCCTGTTCCTCAAGCTGCCGCCCCACGGGGTGCATCCATGGCGTTCTGTGCCTGCGCTGGGTACCCTGCAGCGGCTCCACATCCCCGCTCCACCTAGCGGCCAGCTTCCACTGTACGGCGAGCGTGCATTTCTCCTACTTCTTTAGTTATATCAGTAGGACTCGCCGAATCTTACGCTATTCAATGGGCTATCATTCATGAGTCTCATTTATTGTAAATCTCAGATTGTCCTAGATTTGACAAGTCAGAGTCCCTTTGTTTGTAAGTACTTCCTTATTTTCTGGCACAAGATGTTCTGGGCTCATCTATTCCTTGCCCTGCCCCAGTCCTGGCATTGGCCAGGTCTCCAAGGACTCCTGGCTCCTTTTAGTGGGAGATGCCATGCAGAAACCAAGATCCCGGACCAAAGTGTGCTCACTTTAGTGCTCTTACTGTTCCCAGGACCTCCTAGCGGGGTGCATTTTACACACACACACCCACACACACGCACACACACACCCTTCTCTATTTCTATATCGACCATCACCAGTTTATCCCGAGAACTTTCATTCCAATCCAACCTCACTCAGTTCCTTCCAGTTCCCCTCCCTCTTCCCATGCCTATAGCTCCTTCTCCATTAAAGAGAAAGCTGCCTCATTTCTATGGGATTTCTGTCAAAAATGCATAATCTGAATCTAATCATGAGGATGAGGAAATAACAAAGTTAAAATGTGGCACATTCTATAAAATAAGTGGCTTGAACTCTTCAAACACAACAAGGCCATTGTCTCAGAAGAAGAAGGAAAAAAAGCCAAGGTCAGAAAAGATGAAAAAAGGCCGAGGAACAGTGCTAGATGAAGAGACGAGACCCATAGGATAATTAAACGCAATGTATGAACCCGAACTAGATCCTGAACAGAAGAAGAAATGCTATCACAGATATTTGACATTTGATATTGTTTTTAACATGGACTGTGGGTTAGATAACAGTATCTTATCGGTGTTAAATTTCCTGATTTTGATCTTTTTGCTGTGGTTTTATAAGAGAATGTCTTATTCATAGGAAATACACACGGAAGTATTTACAAATAAGAGGGTATGATGTCTGCAACTTACTCTCAAGTGGTTCAGAAAAGTGTGTGTGTACAAACATACATCTACACACATGCACACACACACACACACACAAACACACTGTGGAGGGGCAGGGAGAGAAGCAGATGAGGCTAAATGTTAATCTTTGACATACAGCGGTTCTACAGGAACATTCTTACAGATGTTAGTAAGTTACGTGAGTTTGAAATTATATCAAAATAAACTTACAAAATGAAGAAGCTAGACATTCACTAAATAAAACCTAAGTGTTCAGGCACTTGTGGCTAGACTCACAGCAGACATGAAATAAGTCAAGAAGAGAAGCAATCTGGTTGAAGAACACAGATGCCCTCAAATCAAACCTGAGACACCCTGTGGATGCTCCACCAACCAGCAGGGCTGAGAAGCTGCACAGGGCTGGGGGCTGCCAGGGGGTTGGCGTGGAGGAGATGAATGGGCCCAGAATCTGCCGCTGTGGCATCAAAATCATTTTGAGCAGAAGGCATTTGCGTTCCTGAATTCTCTTAGCTACTGAAAAGCAGAGTTCCCCAAAAGAAGTCAAAAGAATCCATCTGCTATAAATCCTGTCCCTTAGGAGGGGCCAGGGAAACAGGACTCTTACCACTGGAGATGAGAAGCCTCCACACTGCACTGAAACAGGAATGATCACAAAACTACCACATCGCCCATCTGTTCTCTGTTCTCTTGAGGGCCCACTTGTCTTTCCAAAAAGCCATTCGTTTGCCCACAGGTACCTTTCTCTCACTCCCCTTCCCCTGTGAAGGACGGACGGTGCATAAGCCCAGAATTCTAAATGCCCCTTTGAGGGACACTTTTCTATGACCTCTCGTACATAAGTGGTGAAATCTGTCTTTTCTCTTGCTAGTCTGTCTTTTGTCAGTTTAATTCCCAGGTCCCCCAAAACAGAACCTACGAGGGTAGAAGCAAAGTTTTTCCTCTCCCAGAAGAGGTCAGCAGGACAAGTTAGAGGCCAGGGAGCCCAGCTTCAGACTCTGGGCTTGTCAACTGTTTCCTTCAAGGAGAATGGAATTAATGAGGCCACCTAAGAGAAGGATTCTCAGAATATGCAAGGCGAGGCACTCTCTGAACGGAAAGCAGCATTCTGGGCTGCACCAGAACATTTCATTTTCTCTCTGAAAGTTCTGCCCCGGCAAGGCCACTCATCTGATCTCAGAGTTGTGTAACTTATATATAAGTTATGTGCTTATTTCACCACAGCCATTTGCTAACCCTGCTGGTAGTCAGTGGTCATTTTTCTGTAGGGACCATGGTTCTTAGAGAAACCACTGGAGACCACGCGGGAGCCCAAACACTATCTGACAATGCCAGTACCAAGGACAAAGGACACCTCAGCACTGTTCTGGGTCACGGCTTCCACCACCAAAAAGCAATTCAACGGTTATGGGTGAGGTCAGTGATTCAAGTTTTATGTGTTTTATAATGAAACTGGGGCAACACAACTACCTGCACAGTAGCCCTCACCTATACACAGCTCCATGCCAAGGGCCTGCCCCACCAGGACTCACCACTGATCCCTGGAGAATGAGATGATGAAGCGAATGCCAGCGGGGAGTCGAGCCATTTACGTCGCCACTGACCACTGAGCCTCGGTCGCAGAATAAGATGCTTCATAAATGAGTCATTAATCCTGGCTCCAGATCCTCTCTCTGTTGCCCCTGCCGCTCCCACAGGCTGGAAAGCGTGGAAAGAAGGTGTCCTGCTGGGTCTTGTCCCCTTCCTTCTGGCAGTGGCTCTGCTCTCTACAAGGAGGAGGAGAGGCATTCAGAGTCCAGTGTCGTGACATTCACACCTTCAGCGTTACTGGCAGAAGTAACCACACACGTACAGTAGCAGTACCCAGTCCTGATCAAAGCTGCACGTCTGATACAAGCAGGGGCCCCCACCAGCAGTGTTACTAGGAAGAGGGGGAGTGAGGTGGAGTATCTACCCTTGAGGCGGTTTGTTCTGAGAACCTGGAAATGAATTTCAAATAATGTTCTGATGGTGGATAAAAAGGAACCAAGGAACTCATCTCTATCTGGGAGGCATCTAGAGATCAACCCATTCACAAAACCAAGTATGTGTCCAGCAGCCACGCTATGTGCCCAGATATCAAGGCATGCCAGGGCACTGGACTGCCTCAGTTCCACCCCTATGGACCAGGCCACCTTTGAACCGTAGTGACAGAGAAATGTGGGCCTAGACAAGAGGGCAGATCAAACCAATCATTTAATTGTGACTTTGCCATTTGAATCCAAAGGAGGAATGAATTTGCCTCGTCTGCCTCTTCATTTTTCATCTCCTGTGGTCACCTCAGAGGTCACAGAAAATGACCTGATTATGAAGTCAGGGCTGAAGGCAGAGCAATATAGGAAGGAATGGGGAGGGAGGCCAGAGAACTGAGAAGGGGCCCAGCACAGCAGGCAGGCCTGGTCTCCCATCCCAATGTCAAACTCATGACATTCCTGAGTCACTGCGTCCTCCAAAGCCAATCAGTTCCCCACATTCACTTTTGCCTCCCTCGAAAGTGAGCTTCCAAAAATGCACATTCTCCAAGGATTTTTCCCTTATACCACCTTTTACAAAAAGATTCAAAATCCCTGCTGAGCTTTCGTCCCAGGAGCCGCCCCTCATCTCTTCTATCTGCTCCAGCCAGAACTACACCTTTCTCCTAGGTCCTACAGGGCCTGAATAGGTGGGATTCACCCCACTCCAATACCTCCTCCTTCCAAGGCTGACCCTGGGCTGTGTAAGCCGAGGCAAGTCACTTAACCTTTCTGCTCCCTCTCCTTCAAGGCTAAACAATGGGGATGATAGCATCCATGTTGTTATAAACATGCAATGAGATAACCTATGGGAAGCACTTGATAAGTGGCCTGGTACGTAGTAAATGCGCAACAAACACTAGCTGATATTATCCTCATTGTAAATTCAAAAGAGGAAGGCCCGGGACTGCAGGGCAAGGTCCTACTTCCATCTCCTTGTCCAGAACCTAGCACAGACCACGTGCTCAAGAAACTCACGTTGAATGAACAGCCACAAATACTTCAAAACCACGTCTGCTCAAACCTCTAGATTTAAGCAATATTTTGCTCAAAATGGGTGGGCTCCAGAATGGGTCTGGATCTACTCTGGGAAATGACTTTGTGATGACAACTTCAGAGTAAAGAATTTGGTTCAACAGTGTCTGGAAACGGATGGTCAGAAGCAAACGTCTTCCTCTCAAGTGCTGCTTCTCCATGTCCAGCGTGTCTGGAAACATTCCATTGCCATCTACTAAATAAATCAAAAACCTCCAACTCTGATAAAACCTGTGACAACAACATCAAAGGCCCAGAAGGCACTGACAAATCAAGAAGGGAAAAAAAACCTCTTTGATTTCTTTTTAAAACAATGATGGATTCTTTTCCCTGTAAAATGGGTGAAAGAAAAGTGCTATAAATTCTCATAGTGAGTGCAGTTAAGATGTGCAAAGACAGTGATTTTACATTTGGGATGTTAAGAGCTCAACTAATGAGGCCCTTCCTCCCTAGCCTGTGCAGCACCACTAAAGACCACTTCATTTTGAGTGGGTCAAGACCTCTGGAAGCACGAACCATGACTGACATGCTCTCATTTGAGCCCCGTGACCACCCTGAAGAGGCAGGGCGTTCTTTTCACAAGGGAGAAAAATGAGGCTAGGCGGCTCGCCTGGGTCAGCTGGATAAGTGGGGCAGATTCCAGTTTGTCCTGTTTCTCTGAGCCACCTCCTCCCTCCAGCCACTCTTCTTCCTGCCCATCCCCTGCAGAGAAAGGGCAGCAGAATGGGAGCAAATCACTTGGTTTAAACCCAGTTTTTGGCACACTGCCCAAGTACATAAAAAGAAGAGATACTTTTTTAAAAAGTCACTCTCTACAGGCCCCCCTGGAACTTACCATTCCAGGGAGGAAAAGCGGCAGAATGTCCAGTTTCATTGCACTGTCAAACACAGCAACTTAGGCCAGGCATGGTGGCTCATGCCTGCAATCCCAGCACTTTGGGAGGCAGAGGCAGGCAGATCACTTGAGGCCAGGAGTTCGAGACCAGCATGGCCAATATGGCAAAATCCCATCTCTACCAAAAATACACAAAAGAGCTGGGCGTGGTGGTGCACACCTGTAATTCCAGCTACTCGGGTGGCTGAGGCATGAAAATCACTTGAACCTGGGAAGCGGAGGTTGCAGTGAGCTGAGATTGCACCACTACACTCCAGCCTGGGCGACAGAGCGAGACCCTGTCTTAAAAAAATATAAAAAGATAGTAACTTAGGAAACAGCCCATTAGAGCATCTTTATTACAACCTGTAAAACCTGCACATGTACCCCTGAAACTAAAAGTTAAAAAAACAAACAGACTCTGAAAGACACATGGTTTTATACCTATTTCTTCAAAAAACCCACCCTAGGCAACTGTAAAACAGAATAAGCTGAGGAAAGAAACATTCACAAGCTCCACTCCCAGACCCACCCACATGTGATCTGCGCTGCCTAGAAGGTTCCAAGTAATCTGCAGAGACTCAAATAATGGGGATAGGAAGTGAGCAATAGCAGGAGTAAGGTTCCTCAGTCTTTTTAGGGCTGAGGTGGCATTACACATAATCAAAGCGGCCCCACAGATATTTTAAATAATCTACTTTATGACATTTTTTTTTAACTGGGTCTCACTTTACAGGCAAAGATGGGTGAGAAATGCAATTCTCCTCCAAAAGTTTTCATGCATTTTTTCTTTTCTTTTTTTTAAATTACGAGATAGAATACAACTTCCTGTCCAGAGTGTGCTCTTTCTATGGCTTTTTGCTTTTAAAGGCGCTTTCCATATTAAAGATGAATGAAAATGGTCACTATCTCTTTCCCCTTGGCTGAAGTACAAGGAACCTGAATTCCATTTGCACCACCTCCCTTACCTGCCTCCAACCCCCAACAAAGAGAACATCACAGGTGGGCTGCATGAAACAGAACGTGTAAATGCAGGTCCAAAATGACTTGGTGAATCACAGGTCTGGGGCCAGGTGTTTTCAAGCTTGCTCTCAAAGGGGATTAATAAAAAAACAACGGGGGAAGTCTAAAATATTTATCCACTTACACAACTTCAGACGATTTAAGTTCAAGGGCCGGCAGGCAGGCAGGCAGGCACCTTCCAGGCAAAGAGCTAAGGGAGACCCGGAAAGGGCAGGCTTTAGCAATTCCTCCTTTGGAAATTCAAACCTGGGGCCGCGGGCTGGGGTGTTAGCGGGGAGTGGGGGTGGTAAGGGGCTTGGCCAGTATCCTTCGTTCAAATGCAAATCCTTAGACTGAACGTACCTTCTCGGTCACCAGGATTACGGCGTGGGCCGTAAGGGCTGGAAGGCTGGTGGCCAGCGGCGAGGGGACTTTCCGGCGCGTCAAGCCCTTTATTATAAACCCAGAAGGTCGCTGTCACTCGCATTGGCCAGGAGGCCCACGGGCTCCGGGAACCAGCTGCTCAGCCGACAAACAACGCAAAGGCCCAGGGTGCCGGCGCTCCGAGCCAGCGTTCTGTGCCGGCTCCTCCCTGGGCGGCTGGTCCCCGGAGGAGGTGAATTCCGCGGGCACGCCCACGTCCCCATCGCGGCAGACAATGCGCAGGGTCCCCTCCTGCCGGCTCTCTGGACCCTCAGCTGTCACCGCGGCCCGGGCCGGGGTGGGCAGGGGACCCGGCTGGACAGCTAAGCTCGCCCCTGCCGGGGACTCCGTGGAGCGGCTGCCGGCCCCGTGCCCGCTCCCTCTGCCTCCACTTCCCCGGAATCCCAGCGTTGCCCCGGTCCGGGAACGCCCGGCATTGTCGCCGAGGGCCACTCTTCTAGATGTCGTATTTCAAAGACTTCCCTCCGCGAAAATAGCTTGAGACCGTCCCCGGCTCTCGGAAAACATCCAAACCAGCCCCCACCTCCCCCCGAAAAAAAAGAAAAGGAAGGAGAGGAGCCGAGCTCCGAGTGCGCAGGGCCCCGCGCCCGGCTCCCTGAGGGCGCCGCAGGTGCTGAGCGGCTGCGGCGCCTGAGCGCCGGCTGCCCCGCAGGTGCGGGCGGGGGGGCGGGGGGTCCCCGCCTCCCGGTCCGGCCCCGGCCCCGCGCCTCACCTGCGCCGCCGAGGCCCGCGCTCCGCAGCCCAGCCCGGCCCGGCCGCCGCGGGCGCTTCCTGCTCGCGACTTCCTGGAGCGGCGCGCGGGAGGCCCCGCCGCCCTTTCACTTTCCCTGGCCCGCGGGGCGCCGGCGGAGCCGCGCGGCTCCTCCCCCTCCCCGGCCGCCGCGACCCCCGGCTCCGGCCCCGGCCCCGGCGTGCCCAGGGTCGCACCAGCCCCGGGGCCACCGGGCGGGGGCGCCCCCACGCCTTGCGGCACTGCCCGGCCTTTGCGGGCGAACCCGGGTCATGGCCCGCGCCTTCCCCGGCTCCGAGGGCGCACGGGCTTTCGCTGGCGCGCTCCCCACCGGCCTCCGGGCAGTCCCAGGCGGCCTCTGCACCCCTGGCGCTCTGTCCTCAAGGCAGGTCTTCCCCACAGGCGGCGAGGGTCACATGCCGCCGCGCCCCCACCCCCAAAGAGGGCCTTTGCTTGGCCTCCCGGCTTCTATTCCTATTGTGTCATGTCAAGGGGCACAATCATGAAGACTAGCACTCCATAGCGTGGAAATGCGGCACGCGGATTTGGCTATGTCGAACCAACTTGTAAGCCAACTTGTGTCCCACCTCGCAGGCACGTGACAGAGGCAGCTCCCTGTTAGGCTGCGGGAGCCCGCCGGGTTCTTACCCTTGCGGGCCAGTGCCCTGGCACACAGGCTCCCACGTCACCCCAGAAACAACTCTTCTCCTTAGGCAGCCCCAGGGAGGGGCCTGGCCAGTCCCCTAGAAGCTACTGCCGAACACCCACAGTGGACCCCCAGGATGGCTTCAGAGCAGAGGGGGCTCCCAGCCCACTCCTCGGGGAAGAGCAAAGTGAGGCAGAGCGGAAATTTTCCGGGGAAAAAGCCTGCCCCCGGATAAAACAATGTTTAAGGATAAAACCAACCCGAGGCCTGGCTGTAAATGTCCCAACAGGCCAGTGCCCCTCGCACCCTTCCCCAGGCACGTTGAGCTTCCCTCTGGAGAATGGAGAAGGCATTCTTCCCTGTGTTTGGCTCCCCTGCCCTGCTAGGCCTCGCAGTTTCCCCCTGGGGCCCTGCTTTGTTTCTAGAACACTCTGATGTCTGTGTCTCTCTTTGCTGAGCTGGGCTGCGTGAAATCCATCACTTTGTTAGGCATTTGAGAAGCCTTCTGCAGGCAGAAAGAAAACCTGCCCACTTCTTTGCCACGCAGGGTTCAGCCCCAGGAAGCCCGCCGGCCCCTCATTCCGCAAGCGGGATGGCCCAGGGCTCCAGTCTTCTCCTTTTGGCCAGGTTTTCTTCAGACCTTCTTTCTCTCCGCAGGCCCCCTGTGCCAGTGCTTTCTCCTCTCTTTTCTAGCTCTCCATTCCCGGTGATAGCCCAGTGTGGCTCCCACCCCTCTCTCCAATGGTCTCCCCAGCCCTGGCCCTTGCCATTGGTTCGGCTCGAGGCTACCCCTCTCTCACTGCACTTGTGCAACAGCGTTCTCACTTCCAAGTTCTACCTCCTGCAATCCACTCTTTAAGCTGCCTCAAGTTGCCCTCCTAAAGCAAAATCTGATCTTGTCATTCCTGATTTTCAAACCTTTCGGGCATCCCATCACCTACAGGTTTTACACTTGAAAGGCGATAATACAAGCTCAGGATATATAGGACACCTCGGCCTCATATGGAGACAGCTTCTTCCCACCCCCCCTCCCCCCCACCCAGTTGTACTGACGTATAACTGACAAATAAAAATTACATAATTTGTAGTATAGGATGTGATGTTTTGATATATGAATACATTGTAAAATTATTGCCACAGTCAAGCTAGTATATCCAATCACCTCACATTATTTTTTTTTTTTTGGTGGTGAGAATATTTAAGATCTATTCTTCTTGCAAATTTCAAGTATACAATGTATTATTACTAACTATACATTAGAGCTGTACATTAGCCCTCCAGAACTTACTCATCTTTCCTAAGTGAAACTTTGTACTCTTTGGCCAGCGACTCCCCATTTCTCCCACCTACTGCCCCTGGTAACCACCATTATTATATGCTCTGCTTCTCTGAGTTCAAGTTTTTCAGATTCCAAAAATAAGTGAGGTCATGCATATTTTTCTTTTTTGTTTGTTTGTTGGTTTGTTTTGAGACAGGGTCTTGTTCTGTTGCCCAGGTTGGAGGGCAGTGGCGTGAGTGCAATGGTCAAGGCTCACTGCAGCCTTGATTTCCCAGGCCCAAGTGATCCTCCCCCTCAGCCTCCTGAGTATCTGAGAATACAGGCCCATGCCACCATGCCCAGCTAATTTTTTAAATTTTGTAGACACAGGGTCTTGATATGTTGCCAAAGCTGGTCTTGAACTCCCAGGTTCAAGCAGTCTTCCTGCCTTAGCCTCCCAAAGTGCTGGGATTAGAGAAGTGAGCTACCATGCCTGGCCTATATTTGTTTTTCTGTACCTGGCTTATTTCACCTAGTGTAATGTACTCCGGGTTCATCCATGTTGTTGCAAATGACAGGAAATCCTTCTTTTTTAAGGCTAAATAGTATTCCATTGTGTAGATACAGCTATACACCACATTTTCTTTATAAACTTCCCTCTAGTACTGCTTTTGCTGCATCCCATACGTTTTGGTATGTTGTTTCCATTTTAATTTGTCTTAAGGAATTTTCTGATTTCCCTTTTGATATCTTCTTTGACCCCACTGGTTGTTCAGGTGTGTATTTAATTTCTGCATATTTGTGAATTTTCCAATTTTCCTCCTGTTACTGATTTCTAGTTCATGTTATTGTGGTCAGAAAAGATACTTGATATGATTTTAATCTTCTTAAATTTGTTAAAACTTGTTTTGTGGCCTAACATATGATCTATCCTAGAGAATGTTCTGTGTACATTTAAATGTGCATTCAGCTGCTGGGGGAAGGAGTGTTCTGTATGTCTGTTAGGTCCATTTGCTCTAGAATGTTATTCAGGTTCACTGTTTCCTTATTCATCTTCTGTCTGGATCATCTATTCATTGTTGAAAATGGGGTACTGAAGTACCCTGCTATTACTGTATTGCTATTTCTCTCTTGAGTTCCGTTAATATATATTTAGGTACTCTGATGTTGGGTGCATATACATTTATAATTGTTATATCCTCTTGATGAATTTATCTCTTTATCATGATATAGTGACTTTGTCTCTTATGAAGTTTTTGACTTAAAGTCTGTTTTGTCTGATATAAGTATCTTTTTTGCTCTCTATTTGGTAACCATTTGCATGGAATATCTTTTCCCATGCCTTTACTTTCAGCCTATGTGTATCCTTAAAGCTGAGTCTCCTGCAGGCAGCACCTAGATTTTTTTTTTTTAATATCCATTCAGCCACTTCTATCTTTTGATTGCAGAATTTAATCCATTTACATTAATTATTGATAAGGACTTACTACTGCCATTTAAAAAATTGCTTTCTGGCGGTTTGTAGTTCCTTTGTTGCTTTGTTACTCCCTTACTATCTTCCTTTCTAATGTGATGATTTTTGTAATGGTATGCTTTGATTCCTTTCTCTTTACATTTTGTATATCTGCTGCAGGTTTTTGTTTTGTGGTCACTATGATGCTTATATAATACATTTTAGGCCAGGCGCTATGGCTCTCGCCTGTAATCCCAGCACTTTGGGAGGCTGAGACGGGCAGATCATGCAGTCAGGAGATCGAGACTATCCTGGCCAACATGGTGAAACCCCATCTCTACTAAAATACAAAAAATTAGCTGGGCGTGGTAGTGTGTGCCTGTAGTCCCAGCTACTCAGGAGGCTGAGGCAGGGGAATTGCTTGAACCCAGGAGGCAGAGGTTGCAGTGAGCTGAGATCGCATCACTGCACTCCAGTAATAAAACATTAGCTGCCTACAGAAATCCTACACTTTAATTTTTCCCCACCTCAACTTGTATGCCATCAACTTAAGGAGCAGACATTCTCCCAGAGAAGGCCAAGGCAAAGCCAGTGACAGGCCTTGACTGACAGGGAACTGAGGTTTCCCTGAAGGGGGCTTTGAAGATACTGGGCTTCAGAGCTCAAGAAAATACCTCATGCTTAGAAAGCATTAGAGCATTAAACACTATTAGAGAGAAAGAAAAGGGAAAATCAGAACCTGATTACTTAACATGGAGAAAAGAAACTCATTTTATCTCCACTGATCAAAAAGCAAGAATTCTAATGGTATGGTGCACTGACTGGCGAGGAAGGGTGATTTATATTCAGTTACTAGTGTTGTTGATAAGAAATACAATGAAAAGCCTCTGATTATTAAGCATGCTCTGTATTCCAGGCATTGTGCTCGGCCTACGGATATAAAACTGACAAGAGTCCACACACTGAAGAACTATAACCCAATCCAGCAAACATAATTAGGTGTGAAGGAGTAGGCGTTCCCAGTCCTACAGGAGCCCAGTGAGGAGACTGGCCACGGCCCCCTCCCCATGCCACACTTCCAGTTGCAGTACTTTTGACTCGCTTCCCAGTCGATTCACGTATGAAAGCTCTGTTTCCTCCAAAGAATTCTCCTCCTTGATCGTGAAGAACGGGCAGCGGCCATGAACAACAATGACTGAGTCACCGTGGGTGGGACAGACCTGTCTGTCCTACAGCATCAGGGGAAGTGGCAAGGGATGTAAGAGAACTAGATGTTGTCTCTAAAACCAGAGGTCCATAGAAAAGCTTTAAAATTGGACATAAAAATCATAGTTTACTCATATTATTTAGAAATATAGGGAACTACCAGAAGAAATGGGTAAAAGAGTAGAAAATGGTAGGGGAATGAGACAGAGGAGTTGAAGGGATAAAGCCAGGCCCGACTGTTTGTTGTTATATACCTTTAGTATCATTTGATTTTAAAACTATTGGCATGATATTTAAAGAAATATCAACATAAAGACAGAAGGCTGTGCTTAATTTAGGTAATGGCATTTTAGTGGTAGAATTTTAGACACTGTGATACTTGAATTAGAGACATATTGGAGGAGAGGAGCTTTCAAGTGTCCTGAAATAATAAGGGGACAAACACCCATTTATAAGGGTGGTTCTCTTTAAACTACCTGTATAAAATAGGCAAATTTTCTTGCTTCTAAGACCCCTTGGCAGTGTTTCCCAGCAGAGTAACTTTCTTGCTTTTCTTCTATATGTGTAGCAAGGGAAATAGTAACTGAGAGAGTGCTCACGGGTATTTGGGGAGTAAACTGGATTCTAACTGAAGTAGGACTTGATAAAGGCTTGAATCAGATTCAGGGACTCACATTTCTTTCAGTGAAGCATTCCTCTGTAGCTGAGCTCCACTCTGGGGCTAACTTGTTGCCTGAGCCCATCTGTTGTAAATTCCTCTTGAGTTTATGCCTATAGGTAGAATGAGGTCAGGTATGTGGAAATAGGAAACTGACCCATCAACTAAGGAGTCATTCTTGCAGTTGAGCTAGTGCAAATACATGAGATAAGCAAGTTGGAAAATTTTTATGGGGTCTGCAAAAAGACATACTCTTAGGCCAGGCACGGTGGCTCATGCCTGTAATCCCAGCACTCTGGGAGGCTGAGGCAGGTGGATCACCTGAGGTCAGGAATTCGAGACCAGCTTGGCCAACATGGTGAAACCCTGTCTCTACTAAAAATACAAAAATTAGCCAGGCATGGTGGCGGGCACCTGTAATCATAGCTACGGGGGAGGCTGCGGCAGAAGAATTGCTTGAACCCGGGAGGCAGAGTTTGCAGTGAGCTGAGATTGCGCCATTGCACTCCAGCCTGGGCAACAGAGCGAGACTCCGCCTCAAAAAAAAAAAAAAAAAAAAAAAAGAGCGTACTCTTCAGTCCAGTTATAGTTTGGTAAACTGTGTGGCTTAAATCAAGGGGCTGTTCTTTAAAGTTCCCTCTGGGCCAGCATTTGATGATTTATGGACATGGTACTTTTCTTCTAAACAAACACTGTCTGATGGGAGAATGAAATTACTCATATCCTCTTTATCAAACTGATATTGTTTGGGTATTTGTCCCCTCCAAATCTCATGTTGAAACTTGACCCCCACTGTTGGAGGTGGGACCTAGTGGGAGGTGTCTGGGTCATCGGGGGAGATCTCTCAGGAATGGTTTGGTGCTATCCTCTCAGTAGTAAGTGAGTTCTCACTGTATCAGTCCCTGTGAGCACTGATTAGAAGGAGCCTGGCACCTCCCTCCATGCTCTCTCTCTTCCTTCCCCTCTCACTATGTGAGGCCTGCTCCACTTCACCTTTCATCAGGAATGGAAGCTTCCTGAGGCCTTCGTAAGAAGTACGTGCTGGTGCCATGCTTCTTGTTCAGCATGCAGAACCATGAACTAAATAAACCTCTTTTCTTTATAAATTACCCAGCCTCGAGGATTCCTTTATAGCAACCCAAAAGGACTAAGACACACACTTTAGTACTCTTTCCCGGGTTGCCTATCTATTCCCACCAGACATGGAGTCTGGGAAAGGATGGCTTTGGATGGTGAGGCTTTCTGCTCCATCAGCTTAATCTACCCTACTTACCACAGGCTGACAGTTTAGGCAGCCAGTCCCCCTCACAGCCTACACTGAAGACCTCAGCACTCACTGTGGCCATCAGAAGGCGCATGCCCTGGGTTCCTCTAGGCAGCTGCTCCTTTCCAGTTAATTTATAGTTTTAACTCTTATGGTTAAGACCATTAGTATTTAACTCTTGTATCTTAAATCTTTTCTAAAAAAGACTTATGTAACTCAATAATAAAAGCAACTTATTGGGCTGGGTGTGGTGGCTCATGACTGTAATCCCAGCACTTTCGGAGGCCAAGGCAAGTGGATTGCCTGAGCTCACGAGTTCAAGACCAGCCTGGGCAACACGATGAAATCCCGTCTCTACTGAAATACAAAAAATTAGCTGGGTGTGGTGGCATGTGCCTGTAATCCCAGCTACTTGGGAGGCTGAGACAGGAGAATTGTTTGAACCCAGGAGGCAGAGGTGGCAGTGAGCTGAGATCGCACCACTGCACTCCAGCCTTGGTGACAGAGTGAGAGTCTGTCTCAAAAAGAAAAAAAAAGCAACTTATTGAATATGATATTCTTTCCTGAATATTACTCAAGATCATGTTTTTGAGTATCAGTTATGATTCCACAGTGAATACTGACCTAGCAAAAAAAAAGGCATGGGACTTGGAATCTGGAGTGACAAGTTCAAATTGTGACCCCAAACTTACTATTTTTGGGACCCTGTGAAAGTCACTTTACTCTCCTGAACTCCAGTTTTCCTAGTGTGATTCTGTGGGGTTGATGTATGGATGAATGGGGAAAGTAAGGTGTTAGAATGTAGGCACCATGAAAGCAGAGATTTTTTAACCGGTTTTATTCATCAGTGAATCCTTATCATGTATAGAATCATGCCTGGCACACAGGAGACATTCAATAAACATTTATGCTAATATTCCTAAGAATGCTTTAGGAACTGTGAATTAGTGTACAAATGCTTATGGCTACTCTAATTATTGGAAAGCACAGCTAATTAGTATGAATATGTAAAAAGTCTAGGATTCATATCAGGAGCTGAAGGAAGGAGAGAACCACAAAGTCCCTTTCATCAGCTTATTTTGATTTGCTATTTTTCTCTAAAAATGAAGTTTGATTCCCTCTCACCATCCTTAATATAAATCCTGTTAAGCTTTGATTATTTGACACAAAGTTAATAGAGGTTTAAAAATCAAATATGCCTACAAAGTTCCTATATATCACTTCACAGCTATCCTTCTGATGGCAAATGAAGGAACATCTGTAAGAGTACATGGAAATGCCACTTTAAATTCAAGAGTATCAACATTGAACGAGGCCTGCGATGCCAGTACTCATGTTCACCGTGCAAGTATACAAGGGAATCCTCTTACTGCCTGCCCAGCCTCCACTTCAACAACATTAGCCTTATTAAATGTGTCACATGGGGGAACATTCAACCAATTTGTGCTCCAGTTTCTTCTCCTCTAATGTAGGGTCATTGAATGTTTTCATCTGTAAGACACTGTCCCTATTACAAAGATGAATAGGAGAGGTCCTCATTCTTAGGAAATGAACAATCTAGTTGGTACAAAACTACAGAGAACCTCACATCACATAACTTAAAAATTCCCCTAAATCCTTAACCTGTCAGAAATCAGAAATTTTCTGGTTTTAACTTTTAGAAAACAAAATTTAAAAAGCTCTTTTAGAAAAAAAATCATGTTTTGGATACTGTAATTTTCACAAGCCAATGTTTTGCACATACCAGTAGCCTTGGCTGTGTCTCTGCTGTAGAGTTGAAGCTTGGTGGGCTCCCTACCTGCTGGGGGCTGAAGCCACAAGGATCTAGGTTGACTCTGAGGGGTCATGCCTCTCCAGCCTTCCAACTCTCTGACAGTGATGGAGTGTAGAGGGTTACTTCAGGGGCTACCCACCTGGGAGACACAGTCACCTGGAGGATACTGTGGACAAGGGTTGGGGATAAAGCCTGCCTATGGGGTTGTGTAAGTGACAGCTGAGCTGAGACCTGGAGAAGGCATCGAGTTACCCAAAAGAAGAGTGGAAGGTGTTCCAAGCAGAGAACAAACAGCATAGGCAAAGGCCCAGCAATCCTACAGAAAGTTGGGTTTGGGGAACTGAAAGTCATTATGGCCACAGCAGAGAGTGTGGTGTGTGAACATAAGGCAAGAGAAGAGGCTGGGGAGGGACTTAGTGGCCACATCATTCAGAGCCTAATAATCGAATGAGGGAGTCTGGACTTCACTACTGAAAGATTTTAAACTGAAGAACAACGTGATTAGATGTGTGGTTTTAAAAGATTATTCTGGTCAGTGTGGCAAATAGATTAGAAGACAGTGAGACTAAGGGCAGGGAGACCACCTGGGCTGTTGGCGTCTTCTTGGCAGAAAATGATGGTGTCCTGACTAAGGAAGAAGCAGTGGGAATGGAAAAAAGTAGATGGATTTGGAATAATTTGGAAGGAAGACTCTCCAGGATTTGGAGATTGGTTGGGGAAGGGGGAAGGAAAGAACTGGTCCCTGACATTGATGATGTTCAGATTCTGGCTTAGTAAACCGGTAGCAAGTGGGCCCTTCATTAAGATAAGGAAATAAAGCGGAGAGAAGAAGTTCAGTTTTGCCCTTGTTGAGTTTGAGGTGGATGATAAAAAGGTCAGCCCAAGAAGTGGCTTCTTTGTGGGATCTGGAATGTAGGGGAGGAAGCATAAGCAATAATAACTTGAAACTGTTCTCAAAACCCTTTTAGAGTCAATTAATTCATTTATTCTGGTAGTGAACTTGGGAGTAAGACGCCTGTCTTGCAGGGTCATGCTGGGCACAGGCAGGCTAATGAGTTCTTGCTTTCTGGGTCCTTTTTCTCCCTTTACTGTATAAATTTTACTTTTTCTACTACATTGTAATACATATCATATATGTGCATGACTTAAGATAGTAACAAAAGAAAATATCATGACACACATAGAGAAGTTTCTAGAACTAAACACATACCTCGATGTCCAACTTGCTGCCAGTTAGCTTGAAAAGGTTTTCAGGATTAAGGTGAAGAAAACAACCTAATAAAGCCAAGCTGCCTCTTCACTCCGGAGAGTTTTCCTAAGCTATCACCCCTATACTCTCTCCAACACATCCTTGGAACTGAGACCAGGGCCAAGATGACCCAAAATGACCAGGCCATGTCCCCATTTCTAGCCATCCTAAAGCCTGGTGCCCTTCTGGGACCCTCTTTAAATGTATTAATATAAAGAACTGCTAAAAAGAAAGCCACAATATTTTGAACATACCAAGATAACTAAGTAATCAAAGAAATGCATTAGTGAATCACATTCTAAATGAAACAATCTTCACTTATCTTGTTTAATAAATACGTATTTTCACATTTCCATGCTTGTTCAGTGGGGAAACTCTTTTAGGGCCCCTGAACTGAGACTCTGTTCTGGGGTCATAGATAACAGCACTGAGATGTTCTAGTACCACCCGGATGTGGTTGCCAGGGGCCCCGTCTGGTTCCTCCCAGTGCAGGGCCTCAGTGGTCAGATAGCACAAAGCCAGCTCTGGGGAACCTAAAATTACCAGTCCAGTTTAAAACCTTTCTGGCTTTCCTGTTTGTAGAGGGAGAGGGAAATGGTTCATTTAGCTCTTCCGATAACTGTATTTGCTCCACAACTATTTAGATGCTTGTCCTAGTAACTAGATAATTAAAAATGGGCTTGAGGAGAGGAGAAAGGCAATTCAAACAAGCAGGTATGCCAGCGCCACGAGAGGAGGACAGCAACAGTACCCAGAGCTGAGGAACTTCTGGTAGTCACCCAAGAAACATGAGTGAATGACATACTGAGAAAAGACACCCGACACATTGTTTTCTTAAAAACAAAATGGAGGCTGGGTGTGGTGGCTCACACCTGTAATTCCAGCACTTTGGGAGGCTGAGGTGAGTGGATCTCTTGATCCACATGTTGTTGAGCCTGGGCGACATGGCAAAACCCTGTCTCTACAAAAAAAATACAAAAAATCAGCCAGGTGTGGTGGTAGGCACCTGTATTCCCAGGTACTCGGGAGGCTGAGGCAGGAGGATCACGTGAACCTGGGAGGTCTAGGCTGCAGTGAGCTGTGATCATGCCACTGCACTCCAGCCTGGATGACAGAGCCAGACCTTGTCTCAAAAAAAAAAAAAAAAAAAGGAGTATAATTTCCTTAAGTAATACCCCTTACCTTGTTCAACTTCATATTAAAGATTTTCATTCATTCTCTTATCCAACATTTGTGACATAATAATTTTGGTATATCCTTAAGGTGAAATACTATTGTCTTTAAAACACTTTGGAAATTTTTTTTGACATGTGCACCATATAATGACATGTGATAATGTAAGTGACAAATAGAATGATTTCAATTAAATAGACATATATATGCATTTTAAAAGCATGAAAGGATTCACACCAAAATGGCAGTAGTTATTATCTTTGGGAAGTGAGATTATTGGTTTTCTTTATTTTCTTCATTATACTTTATTGTATGTTCCCAATTTTCTAAAAGTACTCAGTAATATTTAATAATTGGAGCATCTGGTATGTGTCAAGTTCTGTGCGACACTGTGGGGTGGAGGCCTTGGGAGGTGCTTAGGGAGGCTGACCTGGAAACACGTTCCAGTTGTGTAGGGAATGCGTCAGAAGCACAACCAGAGAGATGGTAAGAAGGGGCCGGCAGCAGTTAGAAACAGCATCCCTAGGAAGGTTACATCTGGTAAGATATTAAAGTTGACAAATTGTTCACCAGGTAGAGAAACATGGGCATCACATTTCAGAAAGAGAAAACAACATATACAGATATATGAAAGTGGCCTGCAAAAAACTAATCTAAATAATTAACAAGGGTTATCATAGGTGAAGAATAAACATTTGGGGAAAAATGCTTATCTTCTCAAATAATCGAGAAAATATGAATACAAACTAAAGTCACTATGAGACACTGCCTGTCCATCAGATTAGCAAAGAAGAAAAATAGGACTTACAGTAGGCGAGGGAGCAGTGAGTCCCACACTCTGTTTTGGTGAGAGTGGGGATAGGTCCGGCCATTCTCGGAGGCAATGCAGCAACATGTATTTAGGCTCAGCAATCTCTCAATTCTATAAAGCTGCAATCCAAAGAGCTGAATTTGAGATGTGGACAAAGATCTATGCATTCAGATGTTAATATTTATTTCATTTACTCATTCATCTATTTACTTTGGGCAGGGGTTCACAGGTGTTCACTGTATTACTTTGCTGGCATACGTGAATATGTGTTCTTTTGCATGCATCAAATGTTACATAATTAAAAGATTTTAAAACCTGAGCTAAATATACACGTTACATTTCTATAGCACTTCCAAATCATTTCATCCTCGTTATCTTATTTGATCATGACCTTCCTGTAAGTTGGGTAGGGGGAGCCTTATTCTGGGAAAATCATGGACACGTGGTTCAGCATGCCACCTTTTTCCCTGTCCCTTTTCTAGAAAATCTGATCCACCCTTAGACCTTGAAAAGTACAGCCCCATGTAGCACAGGATCTCCCACCACAACTGCTGGTTAGAGTGAGGCTATCTGCAGCATCAAAACTAGAACCAGCCTTACATATCCACCAGTAGGAAAGAGTGACCTCCACTTTGGAATGAAGGATTAACATGTAGCCAGAAGGCATAATAGTTTTGTTTTTGTTTTTGTTTTTTGAGATAGAGTTTCACTCTTGTCTCTTGTCGCCCAGGCCAGAGTGCAATGGTGCAATCTCGGCTCACTGCAACCTCTGCCTCCCGGGTTCAAGCGATTCTCCTGCCTCAACCTCCTGAGTGGCTGGGATTACAGGCGCCCGCCACCATGCCCAGCTAATTTTTTGTATTTTTAGTAGAGACAGGGTTTCACCATGTTGGCCAAGCTGGTCTTGAACTCCTGAGCTCAGGCAATCCACCCACCTTGGCCTCCCAAAGTGCTGGGATTACAGGCGTGAGCCACCGCTCCCGGCCCTGGTAAATTTTTTTAACAGTGTAGATTAATGTAGAATTTGCCCCCCAATGGGTCTGTAATTTCTTTCTCATTTCCTTGTAATCCCCTAGTACTCGACCTAGAAGACACTCAGACGTAGTTAAGCAACTGATATCCTGAGAGAGCCCTCGGAAAATGGAGTGTGATTTAAGAATAAAAAAACAAGAAAAAGAAAAAATTTCACGTCAATTTTTCTCTTTTCCTACTGCTGCATAAAGCACAGCTCTGTTGCAAAATAATATCTAACATTTAATTTGATAAACCTGTGTTGGTTGAGCACTTACTATGTGCCAAGCACTGAGCTATGTCCTTGAGTTGCTACCCAACGTGAAATTCGAGTCTATCCAATTTTCTGACATCTCGTCTCCACACTGGTGTCCACTAAACTGTTTTCCCTACTGGTTTTGATGCATCACTGAATAATCTCACTTCCTGGGTGAAAAATACTTTACATTTCTCTCTTGACAACTGTGTTTCAATAGCCTTCCATTGACCTACATACCTCAGGTATGGGCGTGTGTGTATCTGGCATTTTCCTCCTTGCTGGGTGCCAATTTTATGAGACATAATCCACAAACAGTTCAAATACCTACTTACGCTTAAGAATCTACCTGTCTATATATTTCCAGAAGCTTCAGTCTCTCCCCACCCTTATGTATATTAGTGCTAATGAATATGAGCATTAAAACTAATCTGTTCGTCACAGACTAACTTCTGATTGTCACAAACAACTGACAGAATCATCTTTGGCAGTTTGATTCTTTTCAAGAAAAAAACACGACTGAAAACGATTAAGATAAACTTGAGTTAAAATTCCCCCCCAAACATACTGATAGACAAAAGGTGCTTAACCTATTGTAAGATTAACAGCAGTACAATTAATAGTAATAGCTCCCATTTACTAAGTGCTTTACTTTGTGCTAGGCACTATGCTACTCTCATTATGAATATCTAATTTTGACCTCACAACAGCCCATTTTACAGATGAGTAGACTGACTTCAGAAAGAAGTATACGGAGCTAGGGCTCCAATCTCGGGTCTGTCTCTATCCACTAAATGGCAATGTGTGATACTACCAACACTATTTTAAAAAGTTTTCGATTCTACATGTAGATAGAACTTTTTCTATCTATATACTCTAATATGTTTGTTTATAAATATGCATATATATGAAATTGGTAAATTTACCAGAGTACAATTATTCTAATAAACAACCTCATAGTTCTATAGTTAAGATGGACCTGAACTCATTTTGTTGAAAGTCCCTGCTTTTTATCTGAACAGTGCCTACAAAAAAAAAATCTGTTTGCATTTTACTGAAGCCCCTCAGTTCTTAAGGCCTTTTCTCCACACTGTCCAGGAGAGCTCAGAAGAGACACACTTAGGGACTCAGTCGCCATGGCAACTGCCAAGCTGCAGGGCCTCCAGCTGGGAGGTGGGCCTGGAAGGTTGTGGAAAATACAGAAGGCAGCCCCAGGGTGGTTTCAACAGTTTCCCCGGCCTAGGCCATCCCACCAGGAAGCAGAAGGCACCCTGACCAGCGCCCCTGCAGAGATCAACCATGGCCAGCCTGGGACTGTTTTTCTTCTTTTTGAAGGGGTTAATGGGTAAAAGGAAATGGATCGCTCCATTTATACTTAAGAAGGACAAGAAGATCATTTCTTACGGAAGAAACGAAGTACAGAGGAACCGTGGCCACTGTTGCCCTCCACTCTCTCGAGGGCCTTCCCCTCGGCCCTCCCTCCTCCCTGCAGAGCCGCACTTGCGCGAACTTCCCACTTGGGGGTTATGGGAAGGGCCTCTGTGGATGATGGGAAAGCTCCGCAGGGGATAATGGGAATGCCTCGCGGGGGATGATGGGAGACCCCTGCCAGAGGAATATGGACAGCCCCTTTTGATTTTTAAGTAGTGAAAGAGGATTTCCTCTCATTTTCCAGTAAGGAAAAACCTCCTGATGATGTCCTCATCTTTCTGCCTCTCATCTCCCCACCACTCCCACGCCCCAGGAAAGGAGGAAGGTGGGCTGAACAAGCATTTTGAGGGCCTTCAGAATTGGAAAGCGCTGCTTCTGGCATCACCAGGCATTTCCAGGTCACTGTGGGGTTAGGAGTCAGGGATCCTGGGGCTCTGAGTGAGGCATCGACTTGGCTTGATGAAGTCCTCCTGGGGCTTCCTGGGTGCACAGAGAGGTGCCCAGAGCTCCGACTGCCTCTTGGCAGCTGTGGCTCTCAGCTGGATCTGGGCTGGGATGCAGCTTCTTTCTGGAAGGAGGAATTTAGAATCCAGTCCAGGTGCTGCTGCAGGAGATGCCGGGAGGCCCATCCTGTTGTTCACCCCTTCTTGCCTTTGGTGTCAATTATTTGGATAATTGCCAAACCCACAGTGTGGTGAAATTACTATAGATTGACTGAAAGATTTGGGAGGGAAGACCCTGGCTAATTCGTATGGGATAGAAATCAAATTGTAAACCTTAGGATTTAATAGCTATAGCTAGACGTCTAGCTGCTAATGATGTGATCCAGAACAGGGTTTGCTTAACCATGTGGTTTGCTTAAGCCACTCTCTGGTGTTTGCAATCCAAGGCATTTGAACTAGTGGTCCTCTGCTTGGTAGATGGTTTAGTCACTGCCAGAAAACTATAGTTATTTCTTTATATCACAGATCTGGGAGGCAGTATAGTGATGGGCAACAGTTGCTCTTGGGTCAGCTGGCTTGATTTGAATCCCACTAGCTGTATGATCTTGGGTAAGGATCTTAACTGCTGTCGACCAAAGTTAAGGCTGTTGAGGCGGAAATTGATAAAGGCTTATTGAAAGCCAAATTTGAAGATTGAATGGGGAAGACACACCAACAAAGTTGGGTGTGTTCCAAAGTCTGTTACAAGTTGCAGTGCTTTTATAAGAAAGTTGAGGAATGGGAAGGGGACTCCTCATATTGCAGTTGTCTTTTTTCATTGGAGGGACAATATAGAGGTTACAGTCATTGGCTACAGATGACAACATACAGGCTAAAATGTTTTCTGCATATGCACAAGACAATCAGTGAAACGTCATGATTCAGAAACAAATCAGTATCCTTTTCAGTGTCAGTAGTTTACGTATTAATTAGTACATCAACAGTCTGAGGAACTCATGATACGATTTGAGAGATTCACAGTAAGATTGTTTGCTCAAGTACAGGATGTAAAACACGAGTCATAAGACCTTCTCCAGGTAGTTAAAATATAGTTTATTCTTTTAAGTGTAGGGATGCATGACTTAACTCATGCCTGGCATGGCCTTAGGTCCTGTTTGTAAGTTGGTATCTTACTGCCACAGCGTCCATTCTGTCAGTCTTATGATCTCTATTTTAACATTAATGCTTGTTAGTTGTTGTGTCTAAACTGCACAAGGGTATTAGTGAGGCATGTTCGACCTCCCTTCCCATCATGGCTGAGAACGCAGTTTTTAAGGTTTCTGGGGCCCTCTTGGCCAAGAGGGGTCCATTCAGTTGGCTGTGGTGGGGCTTAGGAGGTTATTTTTAGTTTATAACCCCCTATAACTCCCTTTCCTTAGATGTTCAATGGAGGAATGATAGTGAGGATTTAATAAGATAACTCATAAAATTCTTAAAACAGTGCCCACACACAGTGTCAGAACTTAGTAAACACTGGTTACTGTCATTGTTAGGACAAATTTGAAAGCTAAATTTCTGACATTTTAAATGTAAAAAACGAGTATTTATTTGCATATACTTATGTTACCATTCTAGATTTCTAACATTTAAAATGCTTCTGGCATTTTATTATAAAAATAGGACATGCTTAATTGTAGTAACTGGGTAACTGCCAATATGTAGAGAAGAAAATAATAATCATCTGTTATCCCTAACTCCCCACTTTTCCCCATAAGAAAAGCTGTTAAATTTTGGTGTTTACAACATTTTTATCTTTGCATCTAAAAAACGACATAATTTTGGAATCTCGTGTGTTGTTGTAACTTGTGTATTTATTCAGTAAGTAATATATTTGGGCCTGATGATGGGTTATGGTTGTAACCTTTCATATTAGCATTGGGAAGAATCTCTAGGGGATGTGTGCTCTGGAAGATCAGCAGCTTATTCACCGCGTGGATTTGGCTTCTGGGATTCTCCCATCAAGACCAAATCCTATAGTTATTCAGTCACTCCTCCCCAGCTCCTGCAGCAACAACAAATAACACAGCTTTGCAGTCTGGGATGATGGCAGAGGAAATGGGAGATGTGAGGGGCCTTCGGCAGGCGGAGTGCGTCAGGTAAAGCAGATTTCCAAGCCTGCACGTGTACATGCGTGTGCGTCTGTGATTGTGTGGGTGTGTGACAGTGTAGGGGAGCCAGGAGCGAGAGGAGAGGACGGCGATCGTAGGGGACACCTGAGAGTCAGAGGCCCGAGGGGGCTGGGACTCATGTCGAGGTCGGGGAAGGATGTAAAACCCGGACGGACATCACTGTAGGCCGCACCTGCTGAGAGGCCAGAGCTGCCTCCTTGAGAGTGAAGTTGTTTACAGACAAGAGAAGAGATCTTGGCGGACACATCACAGCTAGCCGCGAATCCCGAAGGGTCAGCAGAGCCTAGAAAGGTAAGTGGGGGTGGGCAGCATCCCCGGAGGGGCCTGCGAGGCCTGGGGGCGGAAGGGAGCGGGCAGTGCCCGCACTGGGCAGGGGTGAAACCCTCTCGAGAGTTGGCCCGGACGCGTTTCCCGCGTCCTTCCTCTTGAGGGCCCAGTACCCAGGTGGCTCCTCGTTGTGGCGTCACAGAACAGCCGACAAAAGTGATGGATTTCAGGGGCCAGCGACGGCGAGGTCCAGGTCAGAGAGCCGGTGGGCAGCCAGGCACAGAACCCGCTCAGGCCCTGCCCAGTCCCCGCCCCCTCGCTTCCCGAGCAGTGATTGGCCGAAGCGGCCCCTCGTTGCTATGACGGCACCAGAGTGCTGCCACTGGCTCCACCTCGTCCCTTCCGCCCCGCCCCTCCGTATTCCCGGGCGGTGATTGGTCGAGGTGCCCTTCCCGTTGCTATGACAGTACGCAAAGGCTGCCAGTGGCTCCTCCCGCTTCGTCCGCGTCGCCTGTCCCCGCTCCCCATCTTCCGGGCTGGGAGGGAGGCGGGACCGGCCGCGTCTCCATGGCGACGCGGGACGCGGCGGTGGAGGCGGTTGCTACCCACCTGCTAGAGGCGCTGCGGCTGTGATCCAGGCTGGGGCGAGACCATGTCGGACCTGGGCTCGGAGGAGTTGGAGGAGGAGGGAGAGAATGATATTGGGGTGAGAGCTCCTGGTGAGAAAGGGCTTCCCAGGGTGCGCAGCGGCGGGGGAACCTCGAGGTTGGGTTTGGAGAGTGAGGAGGCGCAGAAACCAGAGGTCTGAGCCACAGCTCCCCAGGATCCCCGGCAGGGACGAAGGCCACGCCAGACACACCTGCGTGCGTCCTGGAAGTTGATGGTGAAAAGTGAAACGCTGTGACGTCTGGTTACCACATGCCGCCTCGTTCTTCCCCCACCCCCATCCTGCCTCCCATTAAAGGCAAAGATTTCCCAGCGGAAGGCTTTGGAAGTTTCCTCCTCCCTGTGTTAATTCCCATCGAGGCAGTTTTCTCGGATGAGCAGATCATCCCACGCTGCCATACTGCCCTTGAATAAGTCATTTCTGTAGCTGAGATTTGCTCCCCCGGCATTTAGATGCATGGAGGATAGTTGCTTCCTGGCAGCCTCCAAGAAATGCTGAGGAGGCCCTGGGCTCAGGAGAGGGTTCCTGAAGATATTACCTTATAGGCGTATCCTCACATGTGCTTTCTTCAGTCCCCATCTGAACTGACCCAGGTCTTTGGAGTTATTTCCTGAGTTAGGCAGCAGAGAGGAGAAAGAGGGCACATCCAGCCTGTGAGCTGGGTTCTGTGTGGGAATATTTCTATCACCCAGAGAGTAGTTCCTCCCTACTCCAGAGAGTGACCTCTCCATGGCTGACAGATAGGGAACCTCAGCCACTATGGTCTGCATGCACAGTACAGAGTTGAGGTACTTTCAGAATTAACTGAAAAATCTAGCGACTCTGCAGTGGTGCTGTCAGTGCCTGCCCAGACCTTTTTGCTAGCTCTGGGCACTCATCTCCCAGCTTCCGCCTGATTTGCTACTCAAGCTATCACCTCTGTGCGCTGGAACTACCTGCCCAGTATGGAGAGCCAGAAGTGCCTGAAATTCACATCCGGCCAGACAGCCAGTAGCTAGTGCAAGAAGCAGGACAAAGTCTGCAGTGCGATTGATGCCCCCAGAGTCCCTGTTGGATTAGGCCAAGTCTGGGACTTCACCTGCAAAGGCATCCTTCCTTAGCTGCCTGCCCTTTCATGTCTACTTCCCTGCCCTCTTTACTACTTTCTCCCAGGAGAGCACTTAAAAAAATCAGGCCAGGCGCGGTGGCTCACACCTGTAATCCCAGCACTTTGGGAGGCCGAGGTGGGCAGATTGCCTGAGCTCAGGAGTTTGAGACCAGCCTGGGCAACACGGTGAAACCCTGTCTCTACTAAAATACAAAAAATTAGCCGGGCATGGTGGCGGGCACCTGTAATCCCAGCTACTCGGGAGGCTGAGGCAGGAGAATGGCTTGAACCCGGGAGGCAGAGGTTGCAGTGAGCCGAGATCACGCCACTGCACTCCAGCCTGGGCAACAGAGCGACTCTGTCTCAAAAAAAAAAAAAAATCACTTGTTCAGGGTCTGTTTCTAGGTGAACCCAACCTGCAACACTTGACCAGCAAGATTTCTAGTTTGTCTCCTCAAATGGCCCCACTGATTTGTAACTTTTTAGTGCCTATAATTTTTAGGTTCAGATCACATTTGGGGTCATTTTAAAGGATTTCTGTCTTATTCAGCCACCCCAGCGGCTCAGTGTTGGGTGTATTGGGAAGCCTCTTGGATAGAAGGAGGGGACTTTTGTACATTTTGATGTAAACTAACCCTGAAACAAATCTGTGAGGTCGCAGATTTTTACCTTATATTCTAGGCAGGAATTAGTGGTCCAAACAGTGCTAGAAAAGGGCAAGAATTGCACAGACGTTTATTTCTGAAGTCCTCAATGTAGTGTGTCAGTACTTGTGTTATAATAAGTCTATATACATCCAATTCAATTTCTTAATTTTAATTTTTAATAAATTTTATTATGTATATTTAAGAAATACAGTGTGATGTTATGAGATACCCATGTTAAATCATTACTGGATGCTTTCAGCATTTTATTATTTACTATATTCACTCTATACCCATGTATTAGGTGCTAAGGAACATTTATTTTCTGAAGGATAGGAAAATTGCAAGCTTTGATCACATTTTTTATTTATTTACTTTTAAGATAGACACATAATTGAGCAGGCATGGTGGCTCATACCTGTAATTCCAGCACTTTGGGAGGCCAAGGATCGCTTGAGTCCAGGACTTTGAGACCAGCCAGGGCAATATAGTGAGACCTTGTCTCTACAAAAAAATTTTGAAATTAGCTGGGAATGGTGGCGCATGCCTATAGTCTCAGCTACTCAGGAGTCTGAGGTGGAAGGATCACTGGAGCCTGGGAGGCGGAGGTTGCAGTGAGCTGAGATTGTGCCACTGCACTCTAGCCTTGGCAACAGAGTGAGGCCCTGTCTCAAAAACAAAAACAAACCACAGATAGATACATAATTATTGCAGCATTGGGTCATGAGTGTTCGAACCTTAAGTCTCTTGCTAGGGGTCTTAAAAATAAGATAAACTTAATCAGCAAGGGAGCCCTGTGTACTCCTCAGTGCCCTCCAACCTGTCCCTTCCATCGGAAATTCCTTGCAGGGCAAAGGTCTCTTCAGGCCACACCCCGCCCCAGGGATCATTTGAGGGAAGAGTTGCTTCTCTCTGGGCATTTGCCTTTGAAATCCTGGATTACTGAAGGAAGCAAACGGGGAGGTATTTGTGTGGACTTGAACTGTTCTACCCGCATGTACTATTTCAAGCATGTTCCTACTAAGAACACAGCTTAGAGTATCTAGCATTTTTCACAAATTGGTTAACCTTGCTTACAGGGTAAAGGATTATCACAATGAATTGCAAGCTCTGTGTTGGAGGGAGGGAACGAGGCTTCCGCCCTGGACATGTGCTGGGGTGTGGCCTTGGTCTAGTGCCTCATCTAGCCCAGGCGTTGTTACCTACCTCAACTTTAAGGTGGGAAAGGTGGGACAATTGAGTATAGTGCCGGGGGTTTAGCATAGTGGGATGACTCAAGGGTATGATATTTACAAAATGCTTAGCACCTGGTTAGCGCTTAATGAATGGTAGCTGTAATTGTGTCAATTTTCATTACCCAGGAATATGAGGGGGGTCGGAATGAGGCAGGCGAAAGGCACGGACGTGGGAGGGCACGGCTACCCAACGGGGACACCTACGAAGGGAGCTACGAATTCGGTAAAAGACATGGCCAGGTCAGAACCGTTGACTTGACTGGATGGTTTTCTCTATTTAATACTCTGTTAGCAAATGCTACATTCAGCAATGATATGAATGATATAATCAATGTGTTTCAGGGGATCTACAAATTTAAAAATGGTGCTCGATATATCGGAGAATATGTTAGAAATAAAAAGCACGGTCAAGGCACTTTTATATATCCAGATGGATCCAGATATGAAGGTAAAATGTTATCACTAAGCAGATTTTCGTGTTACAGAAGTTTTTCTTTCTTTATGACTGAACTTGTCTGTGAATACTGACATGTATGAGAAAGCTTAAAGTTCTCCAGTTACTCATTCAACGAACACAGATCGTGTTACTATATTCACAGTGTTGATGCAGAAATAGGAAAGCCTTGTAATTAATTAACTCACTAATGAATCTGTAGTGGGAAATCTGTCCCTGTGGCCAGCATGTCCATGTCCTGGGAGCAGACAAAAGGGAGGCTCCTGAGTGGACGCAGGCCTCGCAGCTGGTGGACCCACGGCTTCAGCTGCTCTGCGGCATTCATCTTCCTGAACCTGTCTTTGCATTTTCCATTTCTGACCAACCCCGCCATCTGACGGATGTGTTATTTCTTCAGATCGAGTGTTTCCTTACATCAGGGCTTCCTGTCTGGGAGTCTTCCTGCCTTGTTAAACTGACTTTTCCTACCTGTGCCATAAGTCCTTACAGGCCAATGTTATGTTTGAGGAGGATTCTTTTTCCTTTATTTCCAAGAACCTCCCTGCCGCCCCTTGTGCCGTTGTCACCTGGTGTGACCACATTAGTGATATCCCAAACCTGGGCAGGGGGACCGGCAGGGAGCGTGTTGTGAGTCTTCAGAAAGTGTATATAAAATTCTGTGTTCTGGGCTTTTTGTTTTTTCCCTAGGAAGAAAGAAATTGTCTAGTTTTCTTCAGATTTCCAAAAAGATCTGTGACCCTAACCTTGGACTCTGGTGACAATAGGTGTGAGCTTGCATAGGTGACTTCACATCTCCTTGCCTCAGTTTCTCATCTGTAGCATGAAGATTCAATGGATAAACACAGGGAGACACCTGCAACCTTGCCTGATCCATAGTGAGCACTCAGTAACTGGGGCTAGGACTGTGATGTACCACTTGTGACAGCATCACTTCTTAGTGAGGAGGACATATTCTTACAAAGTGCGAGCTATAGTTGCTTGCTTTGCTCCTAGATAAAATAAGAACCAGTAGGTGGTTCTTATTTTAATAGATGTCAGTGATGATTCTGTCCAATTCTGAGACCAAGATGGAGGGTTTTAATACCATCCCTGTTAGATAGAAATTGTTTTGTTTTGTTTCATAAATCCCAGAAGGCTTGCTCTATAAGAAGCACCATCTGCTTTTTAAATCAACTTTAAACAATTTAATTTGGGGCTTAATTTAATTCTTTCCAAATCCTTATGCACCTAATCTCATTCTTGTCACTTTTGATTTTAGTGTAGATGTTGATACAATTTGAACAACACACACACACACGAAGATATTTAGGATAAGGGATTTAAGGAATTTTGAATATGAAGGTTAAAAATGGGTAACTGTTTCTCTGACACCAAATGCATGGATTTTCCATGCTATGTACTTCTCCAGTCTTCTGTGAACACCAACTGAGTTTCCAATGATGCAACTCCATTCTGACACCACCCAGAGTTAGCACAGACCCCACAGGTTAAGGGCTCAGTTTCCAAGACTGCCCCACTTCAGATGTCAACCTCAAGTTGTGGATCCGGAGGGTACCCACAGTTCTACCTGACTCGGCTACAAATTGGGGGTTCCTACAACACCCTACTCAGGTTTGATAATGTGCCATAGCGGCTCATAGGACTCAGGAAAGCACTTTACTCATGTTTACTGTAAAGGATATTATAAAGAATATGGATGAACAGCCAGATTCAGAGGTACAGAGGGCAAGGCCTGGAAGGTTCCCAAGCACAGGAGCTTCTGTCCTTGTGGAGGTGGAGTGCACCACCCTCCTGGCACATGATATGTTTATCACCCCAGAAGCTCAACAAATCTTGCTCAAGAGTTTTTACAGAGCTTAATCTCTGGCCCCTTCCTTCTTCTTTACCAAAAGTTGGTGGGTGGGGCTGGAGGTTCTATCCTTCTTATCACTTGGTCTTTCTGGTGTTCAGTCCCATCTTGAGGCCATCCTGGGCCTCATTTGCATAAGTTCAGGTGTGGTCAAAAGAGTCTCATTTTGAATAACAAAAACATTTCTATCAGTCAGGAAATGTCAAGGGTTTTAGGAGCTCTGTGCTGGGAACCATGAATAAAGACCAATATTTCTTATTATGCCACACTAACATATAAAGCTCTTCTGGTAACAGTTGGGATTTTTGATTCTCCAGATGGCTTTGTATCTTAAAGGGTGCAAGATTTAGCCACTACCCAGAGATTTCTTCTCTGACAAAAGCTTAAATAAGTGTCTTACTTCATGAAGGCAGCAATGGAAACTGAGGTCAGAAGTTATAATATTAATTATAACATAGTAAGCCAATACTCTTCCAATCACAAAATCTCAGTTAATGTATGGCTGAGTTATTCATAACAGTGTATCTTGGCTGGCTGCCATCACAATGGGCCAGAATGGTTTTGTGCAGGGCAGTGTGTTCAACGTCAGGACCCTGTGGCATAAAGTCCAGTACCCTACCTGTCTCCCAGATGGTCACACAAGTCCAATTAGGGAGTCCAGGAGCCAGCAGAGGCTATAGTGCTGCAGGAGAGGAGTGGGGAGACGGTCCTGGGTGGCGGGTGACTTGGATACAGGCAGGAAGGCCGAGGTTTTTAGGGGTAGTGGGGGATGAGATGGAGGGGAGGGTGGGTGCCAGATGTGGGGGAGGCCTAGACCCCATGTACTGATGCTGAGGGTTGGGGGTGTAGGGCCAACTGAGGACTCTGAGGTTAAGGGGGAGAAAGAGCATCCCTATTCCCTGCTGGCCTTGTTGCCTGTCAAACAGAACTCATCAAAACAAAGAAGTTTAAGAATGACATTGTGGAGAAAGAAGAATGACATGATAACTTGAACCTGGGTTTTTTGGAAGCCCCCGAATGGCAGGAGCTGGAAAAAATGAGCACTTGACTGTTGGGATGCTTGTGGAGAAGAGAGCATGGTGTTAGACAGACTCCAATTTTCATTTCAGTCTTGCTACCCACCAGCTGTGGGACCTTGGGGAATGCATGCAGTCTCTCTGCTTTTCAGGTTCTGCATCTGTAAAACCATATTTCAGCGATTACACATACCAAATGCTGTGGCAAGTGCACGGAACCCTGCCCAGGGTCTGACACCGAGTGTTTCCCCATAAGTGTGGGCTCCTTCTCTCCTGTGTTTGGCTGACCCAGCAGTTTAGGGAGCCAACTTGGCAAGACCATGGGCCAGCATGGCAAACCAGTGACCAACCAGCATTTGAGGGGGGAGGAGCATCTTGGAGAGCTTCTCATTTTAAATTGTCTTCAATCCCAAGTGCCAGACAAACTGCTCTACCCAAGGAGCACCTGCTCCACACCAGCCAACTGACCCACAACCAGCCAATCAAACAGCCAACCAATCAACCAACCAGCCAACTGACTAGCCAACCAAGCAACCAATCAACCAACCAATTAACCAACCAACTGTCTAACCAACCAACCAATTAGCCAACCAGCCAACCAACCAACCAACCAACCAACCAGCCAACCAGCCAACCAAACAGCTAACCAATCAACAAACCAGTCAACTGACTAGCCAACCAACCAAACAACCAACGAACCAGCCAACCAAACAGCCAACCAATCAACCAACCAGCCAACTGACTAGCCAACCACCCAGCCAACCAGTTAACCAACCAACCAGCCAGCCAACCAACCAACCAACCAATCGGTTAGCCAACTAACCAACCAGCCAACCAGCCAACCAACCAACCAACCAGTTAACCAACAAATCAACCAACCAACCAACCAACCAACCAACTGGGAGTTACTCCTGAGAAGAAATATAGTTGGAAAAAACCTCAGTTGACAAGTTCAAGAATGATCAGAAAGTATAGGATTGGGGTAGAAAGACTTTAAAAAAAAAATTAAGTGCAAATTTAAAGCCACAATAATAAAGTTTACAAATGTCACTCACCTCAAAAAAGGAAACTTGACTTATAGCTGTTAGAGATGTGCCTCAGCAGGTGACTTTTCTCTGAATTACCTTCTCTATTTGTGCAGGGTCCCTGTGGTGGCATTACAAAATGCTGGGCCGAGCCTCTTAACAGGTTTTTTAAGTAGATTGGGACTTTAAAAAATTTTGCTCACCGTCCTCTTGGTGCAAAATTTAGTGTCTTTTGCAACTTAACTGTTCTCTTTTATTTTTGAAATTTTTCTGCAAAATATGTAATATATTTTTCTCACCATGACACCCTGGAGATCCTCTGACATGGCCAAGAGAGGAGGGATGTAATAATTTTGTCATGAAGTTTTGTTGGGAAGAAACCAAATGATGTACCTGTTTCAGCTGAGGTCTCTATGCCCCAGGGCTGTGCTGGAACCCCCTCATAGTAGCTCACAAAAACCCATTCTGTGCATCTCTTCCCAGCTCCATGTGTAGCTTGAAATTGGCCGCGGTGTGAGTATTTACACCACAGAACCTGGCAAATGTTACAAATCCAGGCACATCACTGCCCCTTAAGACCCAGACAAATCCCTCTAGGTATTTGCACATCCTCATGGTTAATTTAGGTTCAGGGACCTGAAGTATTTTTTACTGAATTATCTCAATTTGGGGATCTTCATCTCTCTTGTTCACATTGTTCCTGTCACACATCACATCATGGGACCTAGTCCTCTTCCTTAATTGTTAGCAGTTGCCACCTTCCCTCTCTCCATGAATTTTTGGTAAGCCTGCTCTTTTCTGAATGACTTACCCACTTTTTGAAATTGTGCCATGCAGCTTTTCGTGCTGCCTTCCCTGTCCTCAGCTGCTGCTCAGGTGCCAACCTTCCATCCTCAGGCTGGTGCTCGCGCCCTGGGGACATGCACTGTCCTTTGTACAGCTCTTCGTTCATCTCACAAAGTGCCCAGGACATTGTAGGTGCTGAGTAAATAATGGGATGATTGAGGAAATAAATATGTAGAAGTTCCTTCTGCAGATAAATTTTGGGGTTATTCACATAAACAAATATTACTTGAATAATTAGCATTTTCTTAGCCTATTGGGTATTCTTTATCTTCATGTGGAAGTGGGTCCAGTTTTTGTGTAAGCCAGAAGCTTATGTAAGTTTTGAGAACCTCTTTAAAAAAAAGAAAATATAAAGTTGGTATAAAAGTGAATTTTCATTTGCAATGATAAATCAAAATAAGTTAAAAATTTAAAAATACCACAAACATCACAGAATCTAAGTAGCCTGAGTTTTAATGTCTGACATACTTCTAGAATAGCTTTTCTCTACCTTTGTTAGCTAATACTCTTTGAATGCTTCTCCATATGGCAACCATTTTGTAATGTTTTCTATAGAGAGAATAGAAATATAATTCCTTCTTTTCTCTTTGATCAACAAATTGATCAACATTTGCTTTTTATTATTCATAGTCTCAAAACATATCATTTAGCTTAATGACTTGGTGTAATATGCACGTTTTTAAGAGCAGTCACCTTTGGGAGACCTCTATTAAGTTTCTTTCCTAAGTGAGCTGTAAGATTTGAGGACGTTTTGAGTTTTCTAGTGCAGGGATTCATACTGTGGTTGACAAAAGTAGTTTGCAGTTGTCCACATCATGGAGTGGTATTATGAATTTTATGATATCCTTGCCAATTTCAGTACTGCCTACCAAGCCTATAAGGACTTAGCAGAAGCCGTATGGAGGTGAGGAGGTGAGGGAAGAGTTCAAACAGAGGCATGGCACCAGCGGATGGAGCTGGTGTGCAGCTGGGGTTAGAGTGGCATGTTGGAGTCAGATGATTGGGTGGGAGATAGACTGAAATGCTGCCAGGTGGCTGAGGATAGATGGTCAAGCCCTGGAGTTGTTGCTGGATCTCTAAACATTTGCAAGGTAAATGAAGTGTGGTGTTAGGATCACTGGCAATGGGTCAGACAACCTTGGTTTGTCTCCCTCCTCGTTGCATCTTCGTGGTGCCTCTGACTAACCTGTGAAATGTGCTTGTCAGTACATGCAGGTGGCTGTGGCCCACATCCATACACCTCACTCTGTACCCCGTGAACTCCTGACTCAGCCCTCTCTTAGCCCACTGTCCACCGTGGCTCAGCACCTATGCCATCTGGCACAAAAGGAAGGGGTGGAGGGATGTCAGAGTGGAAACAGATAGCAGCCTTGGTCGGTGCTGTTAAAAATCTCTCTTCTGCAGGATTTCCTGAGCAGAAGGGGCCTGTGTGTGCATGGGCTTCATTTGCTTCACAACACATCTGCCTTTGCCATGGTTAACAATTTGAAGACATGGTACAGGGCATCGATCCCTTCTTCTCACCTGGGCTTGCCTTTGTGTTGTTCCTTTCAGGAGAGTGGGCAAATGACCTGCGGCACGGCCATGGCGTATACTACTACATCAATAATGACACCTACACTGGAGAGTGGTTTGCTCATCAAAGGTTCGGTTTCTATCTTGGGTCTTAACGGGATTTGCTTATGTAATGAGAACATGATGTCTGCAGATTGTTTACACTTACTGAGGAACAGAATCATAACAAAAGCCCAGTTACCAACTCTGCCAGGCAGGTCCAATCTTTCTATGGCTTTGAGGCAAGGATGCCTTTCTGTGCAAGTGTAGACTCAAGTATCTGACATCTGCACCTCAGTTGGGGCAGAGCACGTGAGTCTTTCACCCAAGAGTCCCAGGGAGTGGAGGGCACAGAAGAGCCACTGGGGGACCTGAGCCACAGCTCCCACTAGCTCTGCCTCTTCCCTGGGGAAAGCAGCTGACACACAGGAGGCTTGCCTCTGTCCAGCTGGCCTGTCCTCTGTGCCTCTGGCAATGTCCTGTGCTTGGGGCACACTGAGCAAGGGGCACCTTCTGACTGGACACAGATATAGAAGCTACATCGCTTGTGAGCCTGCAACAGCCTGGGCCTCCCTCAATGTCAATGTCTGTGTTTTAAACCTGGGAGATTTTTCACTGTGCTGGAACGAAATACCATGTTCCCCTTGTCTTAACCAGGCATGGGCAAGGCACCTATTTATACGCGGAGACGGGCAGTAAGTATGTTGGCACCTGGGTGAACGGACAGCAGGAGGGCACGGCCGAGCTCATTCACCTGAACCACAGGTACCAGGGCAAGTTCTTGAACAAAAATGTAAGTCCATGGGAAGTGACATTTGCCAATGAAGTACAAAATAACCCCCTCTGGCAGCCTGTGCAAATGTGTGACCAGAGAATACCAAAAACTCAGAGAAAACTGAGTCCGGCCTATTCAAATGTGGAGAACAGGACAGCTGTGCCATTCTCTGAGCCTCTGGTACCCACAGAGCACAGAATTGGGGGAAGGGAGGGATTGGCCCGTTTCTCTGGATCTCAGTACAAATTCCCACTGTCTTTCAGCGGGGACCTGTTGCATTGTTATATAACACGAGAGGGCATCTGAACCTCTTGTGTGTATTCCTTCTCATGGGTAAATCAGATACCAAATATCTATTTCCTGCAATTGAGCATAGAGGTGTTTGGGTTTTGTTTCCCTGGAAGGGGAGGTGCGACATCCCTGGGGAGGAAGACCCCCAGCTCCCTCCTCATGCTACAGGCCAGCCTGCGTGCTCCTAGTTGTGGTGGGAATTAAGGCTGCCAAGGGCCTGGCCCTGCGTCTGGAGGCTTGCCAGCTTCTAGCACCCATGGTGGGCCGTTTCTGTTTGGAAGACTCGGTGGTTCCTCTTGCCCTTATTGTACAGAGAAACCTTGAATAATTCAGAAGCTAATACTCAGGCCATCGTGGTAGCTTTGATCAGGGGTTGAGCAGAAACTTTCCCTGAAGAGAGAATTTGCGGAGCAAATTGATGGTGTTAGAAGTTGACAGAGGGAATGTTTAGCTGATACAACGAAGTCTCTTCAGACTCTCTTAGAACCCAGTTTTCATTTACGTATAATTCATGCCCTAACCACAGATTTTACTTTTAGTCTTCATCAAAACAGCACATTCCCCTCAAACCCATACATTGTTTATATAATTCCCAGCAAACTTTCTGTGGGTCTTTTTGGAGGAGATGGGAAGGTGGTTGCAGAGGAAGAGAATTTGATGAAAATGAATCTGGAAGAATCAATCAGCTTGTCCAGCCTAAACCAGTCTGAAAAATCGGGGTAAAAATGGAGGCTTTGTTTTGCTAGTTAGTAAAAAACTTTAAATTATACAAATAATACACAAGTACATTCCAATTGTAAAGCATTTAAACACTAGGATCCTGCCCCACCACCCTGGGCCCAATCCTTCCACACTATTTCTGTGTGTCATGTAAGCACATTCTAATACAGTCATCTGACACAGAATTATTGTTTGGGGGTTTTAATTACATAATTAGGATCATACTGTGTCAGGATACAAAAATATACATAAAGATACATATTTGTCATTTTGCACATTTGGG